>NC_000004.12:129224411-129527441 GCF_000001405.40 Homo sapiens
TTTACAGAGAAAACACTCATATGTTTTATATTAAAGATATACCTGGTTATATCAGGGATCTGTAGTGGTTAAAAGATAATTGCGGTAGTGTTTTTTCATCCTTGCAATGATCAAAGCAAAATATACTGTATTTTCTTAATCACAGTTGTTACTGTGTGCTTTTTCAAGACATGAATTTCCATGTATTTTAGAAACACAGAAATAAAAACTAGTACACTAAAAACCATCATTTCATACTGTTTTTTTCCCAACTTGGTAAAAAACAGTCTGTCAAATTTCCCAATAAAGATAAAAAATGCCTGTCCCAGATGTTTCTTCAATTCTGTTCCTGTAGTATATGCTTATAGTTAGCCTATTAAAATTTAATATTTACCTCTGGATATGATTTTCTAGCTTCTCATTTCTCTGTTAGTATATATGTATATATGAAAATTATTATGTTCACCCAGTATTCTTGAAATGGGAAAGCTGAGAAAGGCTGCATTGCTTCCATCTGCCTACCGAGCTGATCTCTCTTCCTCAGCCTGCAGCCTAGCATAGAGGGTAAGGAAAAGGCTTGAAGTTCATCTGTCTTCCTGTTCAGCTATTAAGAGTCACTTTGGACTTGGCTCCTTTGCTGCCAAGCTTCCTGGTGAATATCAGCCCTCAGAGATGTAATACAGCTCATCCCAGCAAGGAAGGAGGTAGAGCTGAGCTGGATGGGGGAAGATGACCTGTTTTGCATCCCCACCTAAGGCAGATTTTCGTAGCATTTGCTTTTTTGATTCAAATGTTGTATTTGATTGGGATTATTTGATAGTTTCATAATAAAAGACAACCTCGTGTTCTTATTTGTTCCCATCTACCTATCTTCACCGCACTGAGTGGTCTCAAGATGCTTTGATGGCTGCAAGGCCAGGGAGAGAGTCATGGCAGCAGTATGCCAAAACTGCAAGCCGCAACATGGGGAGAATATGCTTTTCACTCTTCCCTTAATCTGGGATTTCACTTTATGCAGTAGCCATCCATAGAACAAGTTATGTAAATTCACAGATGTCTAGGTTATTTCCTTTAAAGCCTAAGACCATGTCAGTCTGACCTACGATGTGTCCGTGGTACCCAAGTAGTTCTGTCAGAGAGAATTAAATCACGATGTACAACTTGAGACCGTCTGTTGAGGAAGCCTTCTTTATCCAATGCACAAACCCCTTTCAGGCACCTTCTTAGGCCTTTTCTTAAGGTAGCTATAGCTGAAACATGGGTAACTGTCTCTGATTACTCTCTACTCACTTTGCTTGTGGCTTTTCTCGTTATGACATTCTTACAGCTAACTTCCAACTGTGTTCTTGGGAAGTATTATATCATCTTTGAGTTTGCAGGAATATGAATATCCTGCCGATTCCTTTTCTTATTTTGTCTGTTCCCCAATGTCTTTCTGATTTCTACCACTTACTTGCTGTGTATCTCTACCAAATGACTAAAACTCTCTGCCTTAGTTTCCTCATCTATAAAAATGAGAATAATCAGACCTGCTTAATAGGCCCATTGTGAGGCATTAATGATTAAAATTCATAAAGTGCTTGGAAAATGTCTGATATATAGTTAGTGCTCAATGAATTTTAGCTATCATTATCATCAAGACTAATGTTACCTTGAATTCACTAACCTAAGACATTCTATTTCTCTTAAATCCTTCATCTTTTAGATACAATATATCTTTTTCCCATCAACATTTCTCATCAATTCAAGCATAGGTATTGAAGCCTTCCAAAGCCCAAACAAGTACTTTTCAGATGATCCATGTTGTTTAAGAGCCTGGCTTCTACTGTTAGATGGTCAGGTATAGGTTTTTACCTATTAGTTCTGTGACCCTGAGTGAATTATTTACTCTCTCCAGGACTCAGTTTCTTCATCTGTAAAGTGGGGTGATGATAATAAAATGTACCCTCATAGGTTACCCCGATGATAAAATGAGAAAAATTCATTAACTGTGCTCATTCAAAAAGGTTGCTAGTGGCCAGGTGTGGTGGCTCATGCCTGTAATCCTAGTACTTTGGGAGGCTGAGGTGGAAGGATTGCTTGAGGCTAGGAGTTCAAGACCAGCCTAAGCAACATGCTGAGACCCTGTCTTTACAAAAAAATTAAAAAAAATAAATTAGCTGGCTACAGTGGCATGCTCCTTTAGTCCTAGCTACTCGGGATGCCGAGGTGGGAAGATTTCTTGAGACCAGGAGTTTGAGATTGCAGTGAGCCATGATCATGCTACTGCACTCTAGCCTGGGTGACAGAGCGAGACCCTGTCTCTTAAAACACACACACACACCACCACCAAGTTTCCTAGCACATAGCAAGTGTTCAGTGAGTACTTAAGTAGATTATTAGTTTGCAATTAGATGATACTTTATGTTTTGAGGTATGGACAATATAGAATTAATATTCAGTATTTTCCATGTGATTATTTTTCTTTCATTTTTCTCTTTTTTTTTGGGATAAGAATTACAAATCCTAAAGCTGCAGGTGAATGATTTAGACAAATGTGACCAACAGTTGTTCATATGACCAACTACCCAAATAAGATACACAACATCTCCACCAGCTCAGAAAGCTCTATAGAGGCCCTTTCCAATTAATCTCTACCCCTTGATAGGCAAACACTCCTCTGGTTTCTAGTACTGTAGATTAGAACATTTTGAATGTTCTTTAACTTTGTTTGTATGATGTAATAATTGATTATATATTTTTGTATCTATGTCCAAGCATAATGTTTTTGATGTTCATTTGTGTTGTTGCACATGTCAGTATTTTGTTTTAAAAGATTACTGATTTGTATTCCATTATATGATATACAACATTTTGCTTATCCATTTTTTCCTGTTGATAGCTTATGTGATGTTTTTCAGTTTTGGCTATCATTAATATAGCTGCTGTGAACATGTTTGTATAAGTCTTTGTGTGGACACAAAGAAATGTTTTCATTTCTTTTTGTTAAATACCTAGTAATGGAATTGTTAGGCCATAGGTTAAGTATATGTTTAATTTAAGACACTGCCAAACAGTTTTCCAATGTGGTTGTACCATTCTACATTTCTGCTATGAGTTCATGAAAACCTTTTAAAATGTTAACATTGCAGTGAGTGTGAAGTGGTACTTTATTCTGATTTTTGCAGTTCTCTTATGACTAATGATGTTGAAGATCCTTTTTTTTTGTGCTTATTGGCCACTCTATCTTCCTGGCAAAGTGTGTATTCAAAACTTTCCCATTTTAAAAATGGGTTGTCTTCTTATTATTGAGCTCTTTACATATTTGGGATATAAGTCCTTTGTCAGATAAGATCATTGCAAAATTGTTACCCAGTCTGTGGCTTGTTTTTTCATTTTCCCAAGGGAATCTCTTGATAACTTTTAAATTTTGATGAAGTTATTACTTTATGGTTAGTACTTTTTTTGTCACCTAAGAAATCTTTTCTTACTTCAACTAATATAAATATTCTATTTTTTATTCTGAAATATTTAGGCTTTTAGTTTTAAGTTCAGGTCTGTATAATTTATTTCAAAATAATTTTATGCATAGTGTGATGAAGGAGTCAGGATTCTTTTTCTCTTTTAAATACATTTATACAGCTATTCCAGTGCTGCTTATTGAAAGGACTTTCCTTTCTCAATTGTTTTGTCTTAGGTTTTTGTCTAAAATGTACTGATGCTACATATGTGGGTCTATTTCTGAATACTTCCATTCTGTTCCATTCACCTATTTGTTCATCATTATTTTAATACTACAATGTCTTGATTTTTGAACTCTTGTAAATGGCATTGATTTTTAAATTGCTCTTTTCAATTGTCTGGTGCTAGTATACAGAAAAACAGTTGACTTTTTGTATTTTGACCTCATATCCTTACCTTGCTAAATTTATTTATTAGTTCTAGAAGTTTTCTTTAGATTCTTTTTGATTTTTTACACTGATAATTATTTAATTTGCAAATAAATATCAGTTTTATTTCTCTATTTCTAATCTTGATGCCTTTCCCTTTGCTATCCCTGATGAACATAGATGCAAAAATTCCCAACAAGATATTAGCAAACTGAATTCAACAGCACATTAAAAAGATCATTCACTCTAATCAGGTAATATTCATCCTGTGGGTGCAAGGATAGTCTAAAATGCAAATCAATAAATGTGATATACCACATTAACAGAAAGACAAAAACTATGTGATAATTTTAATAGATGCAGAAAAAGCATTTGACAAAATCCAACATCTCTTCATGATAAAAGCTCTCAACAAATGTGTTGTAGGTATGTATCTCAACACAATAAAGGCTATATATGACAGACCTACAGCTAACATCATACTGAGTGAGGAAAAGCTGAAAATTTGTCCTGTAAGACCACCTCACTTTCACCACTTTATTCAACATAGTACTTGAAGTCCTAGCTAGAGCAATTAGGCAAAATAAAGAAACAAAAAGCTTCCAGATTGGAAGTCAGATTGTCCTTGTTTGCAGATGACAGGAACTTATATATAGAAAACCCTAGATTCCACCAAAAAACTGTTAGAACTAGTAAGTTCAGTAAAGTTGCAGGATACAAAATCAACATACAAAAATCAGTAGCATTTCAATATGTTAATAGTGAAGTATCTGAAAAACATTAAGAAAAAAATTCCATTTACAGTGATTACAAAAAAAGAAGAAACCCAGGAAAAAAGGAGGTAAAAAAATTGCTGCAAGGAAAACTGTGAAAGAAATTTAAAAGGATACACATAAAGGAAAAGATATTCCATGCTACCCAAAGCAATGTATAGATTTAATGCAATCTCTATCAAAACAGTAATGGTATTCTTTTTTTTTTTTTTTTTTTTTTGTGATGGAGTCTCACTCTGTCGCCCAGGCTGGAGTGCAGTGGTGCGATCTTGGCTCACTGCAAGCTCCACCTCCCGGGTTCACGCCATTCTCCTGCCTCAGCTCCCTGAGTAGCTGGGACTACAGGCACCCGCCACCATGCCCAGCTAATTTTTTGTATTTTTTAGTAGCGACGGGCTTTCACCATGTTAGCCAGGATAGTCTCAATCTCCTGACCTCGTGATCCTCTCACCTCAGCCTCCCAAAGTGCTGGGATTACAGGCGTGAGCCACCGTGCCCAGCCTGGCATTCTTTAGAGAAATAGAAAAAACAGTCCTAAAATTTATATGGAACCCCAAAGACCCCAAATAGTCAAAGCAATCCTGAGCAAAAAGAACAAAACTGGAGTCATTACACTAGCTGATTTCGAAATATACTACAAAGCTATAGTAATAAAAATAGTATAGTACTGGCATAGAAACAGATACATAGACCAATGAAACAGAATAGAGAGCCCAGAAATAAATCCAAGCACTGACACCCAACTAATTTTTGACAAAGGGACCAAGAACAGGCATTGGGGAAGAGACAGTCTCTTCAATATATGGTACTGGGAAAGTTGGATAGCCACATGCAGAAAAATGAGACTAGACCCTCTACTTCTCACCATATACCAAAATTACCTCAAAATCAATTAAAGACTTAAACATAAAACCCAAACCCATAAAACTATTAGAAGAAAACGTAGGGGAAATGCTTCACGTCATTGGTCTGGGCAAGAATTTTTAAAAATGAGCCTTCAAAAGCACAGGCAATAAAAGCAAAAATAGACAAATGGGATTACATCAAACTAAAAGAGCTTTTGCACAACAAAGAAAACTATTAATACAGTGAGAGGCAGCCTACAGAATAGAAGACAATGTTTGTAAACTACACTTTTGACAAGGTGTCAAGATCCAGAATATATAAGAAACTTAAGCAACACAATGGTAAAAAGCAATAAACAACCCAATTTAAAAATGGCAAAATACCTTAATAGATATTTCTCAAAAGAAGACATGCAAATGGCCAATAGACATGTAAAAAATGCTAACATTGTTAATCATCAGAGAAATGCAAATCAAAACTACACTGAGATACCACCTCACCCCAGTTAGAATAGCTTTTATCAAAAAGACAAAATAAAACAAGTGTTGGAAGGGATGTGGAGAAAAGGGAATATTTATAAATTGATGGTGGGATTGTAAACTAGTACAGCCATCATGGAAAAACAGTCTGGAGATTCCTCAAAATATTAAAAACAGAAATAGGATCCAGCAATCCTATTTGGTATATATTCAAAAGAAATGTTTATTGCAACACTATTTACAGTAGCCAAGATATAGAATGAATCTAAGTGTCCATCTGTGGATGAATGGATAAAGAAAGTGTGGTATATATACACAATGGCATACTATTCAGGCATAAAAAAAATAAAATCCTGTAATTTTTGACAACATGGATGCACCTGGAGGACATCATATTGAGTGAATGAATTAGCCCATTCTCAAACTGCTGTGAAGAAATACCCAAGACTGGGTAATTTATAAAGGAAAGAGGTTTAATTGACTCACAGTTCTGCATTGCTGGGGAGGCCTCAGGAAACTTACAATTATGGTGGAAGGCAAAGGAGAAGCAGGCACCCTCTTCACAGGGCAGCAGGATGGAGTGAGTGCAAGCAGGGGAAATGCCAGACACTTATAAAACCATCGGATCTCGTGCGACTCACTGTCATGAGAACAGCATGGGGAAAACCGACCCCATGATCCACTTATCTCTACCTTGTCCCAACCTTGACACATGAGGATTATGGGGATTATGGAGATTACAATTCAAGATGAAATTTTGGATGGGGACATAGCCCAATCATATCAGTGAAATAAGCCAGACACAGCAAGACAGATACCATATTATCTTATTCATATGGACTCTTAAAAGAAACAACAAAGTTGATATCTTAGAAGCAGAGTAGAACAGTTGCTACCAGAGACTTAGGAGAGAAACAGGGAAGGTACGATGGGAAAAGTCGGCCATTAGGTACAAAGTACAAATTTTGTACAAGGTACAAATTTTAATTAGAAGGAAAATTCTGGTGTTTTAATGAGGTTGACTATACTTAACAGTAGAATATTGTATATTACAAAACGGCTAGAAGAGAAGCTTTTGAATATTCTTACCACAAAGAAAGGATAAATGTGTGAGGTAATGGATACACTACCCTGATTGGATCACTATACAACAGAGATATGTATTGAAACACCAAATTGTATCCTATAAATATGTGAAATTATAATGTGTCAATTAAACAAATACATAGTTTTAAAATTTCAGTGGCTAATGTTTATAAAAAGCTAAGCTTAATTTACCCGAGAAAAAGAAGTGTTGAACATCTGATTATTTCTATTGCTTATCAATCTAAAAAGGATTTAAGGGGACATGCCTGATTAGGATGTACCACTAAAATCACCTTCAAGAATATTTTGCTGAAAGAAAAATTCTTAATGATGGGAAAATCTAGAAAGGTGAGTTTTCTTGATGCTGCTCCGGGGTAGTAACCTAGGGTGATTATGAGAAACCACATGATTTGTTCTGTGAAAGTTGGGAGTAGATATCCTATGAATCCGATTTGCAGTGTTAGGGTTTCATGTTGCTACAAAGCTTTTTGAACTTCACAGCTTTTCATATCATTTAGGCTTTACTGTCTTTTTACAGGTATTAACCTCATTTAATACTGAAGAAAATTTGGTAGAACATACTGAAATAAATCAGCAGCACTGCCAAAAAAAAAAAAAAAAAAGATTTATAGGAGTTTCTATGCTGGGCTACTCCCTCTTTTTCCAGATACTGTGAGTCATCTAAGTTAATCAAATGATGACTCTTCCTTATCCCAGAAAAAGGAAATTAAAACTTTAAATCAACCCATCATGTTTTCTGCATGTGCTTAGGCTCCAGTGGAGAAGGTTCCTTGGATGCTCTTTCATTATCTTAGGCAAATAAGCAGCAGGGGCTTCTGTGTAAATATGCAAATGCACATGCTGAATTAAGGCGTATTTTTTGCTCAGTTAATATGTGCTTTGGAGGAGGCATTATTTGCTTATAAAGCTCTGAAATCCCTTTGTAGATACATCATCTTGGGCTGACAGCCTTGAGAAGTGGAAGTTTGATGGAGTACTTACTCTAGCAACCCTGCTTGATGTGCTGTTGGCACAGCTGGTGGGGAGGGGGTTGCTGATGGGTAATGCTTCTTTCTGTCACCCCAGCAATGACACAACTAGAAATAGCAGACAGCATGTGAAGAGACGATGATAGAGTATGAAGGATACACAGAATGAAAATTATCCAGAATATGGCAGGCCTTCTCCCTGAATAATTGAGAACTGGCTGAACAGTGACTTACAGAGAGGCACAAAGAGGGAATCTTCCTATGAGTTGTGCTTGCAGGAATTACTCTCCATAGTCAGTGGGCAGGGAATGTTTGAAGGGAAGATCTATGTTTATCTTCCCTCCCTGTCCAGCTCACAGCTTTCAAAGGAATGACAGGGAAGAGAGAGCTGTTGGTTTTGCTGAATTATGGCCATCTGGCTATTACAAATACAGACAATTAGAGATAATCACAATTCCCTTTCTCCTCTCTTCTACAAGTTGGCAAGCTGAAATTTGGGCTGTGGTCTTATATTTGGAAGCCTGTCAGGTGTATTCAGAAATATTCCATGTAAATAAGTGTGACCTCCGAATAGCAGTGCATACATTCAATTCAGATAAATGATTTCTAGGTAATCTGAAACTTAGCCCTACACAGTTAAATGTCATCTTGACCTAAGTTAGGAGCACTGGATTTGCTTGAAATGACAGACAGGAGACCGTAAATCAAGAAGTGCTTGGAGAAAAGCACCGTTAGAGGTTGTCTCATGTGGATGTGTATATTGTGGCTGATGACTCCATTAAAGTGAGTTGTAAAAACATATCCTTTAGTCTTAGGCTTCCTTTTACTTCCAGCTCTAATGAATACTCAAGAATACAGGTTATCATAACCAGATAGAAGAAGTTTGAATAAAAATTGAGGGGTGAAAAAAGAGTGAGCTTATTCACTTAGAAAAATTTGCTAAGAAAAAGATATCTCACTTTAGCACATTTTTTTTCCTGGCCAATTTGTTTGAGAGGAAGTTACAGAATCAAAAGTTTTGAAAAGTGTGACACGTCCAGTGAATTCATAAGCCAACTTTCTCTACAAAACAAAGCTCAAAAGCACAAAAGCACAAAGCAAGGTTTCTGTGCCTACTACAAACTTACTCCCTTGAAGTTGTCCTATTGCTTTTATAGGCTAAATTGCAACATAGCCAATGGGTAGACAGAGGCAGGTGGGGTCCCATTGTGGACATATTCCATCTGTAGGCCATTAGGATTCTGCTCTAGCAGCCCTGTGTCGTTCTCATTATACACTAATCAAAAGGCTGGGGCTCATCTTTTTGCAGTGCTCCCTATTTCTTTTAATGTACCTGCAAATAAAATGAAATGGGCTTAATGGACTGAGGCTTTGACTGATTCTCATAGCTCTGCTGCATGGTCACCAGTTGCTTCTCCTGGTAATTTACAAGGTTTCCTGCTGTATGATAAAACACAGGTGCTCAGGCTGTCATCCAGAGAAATGATTTATTAGCTTTAGTGGTACCACAGACCTCAGGCAGCAGGCACTAAATCAAGAGAATATATACTGAAATAATATGTTTTCCAATGATGACCCATGGAGACTCTTTAGTTGTTCATGCCCTTTACCCACTGCTGTTGGTTTTGCCATTTCTCCTCATTATTTTAAAGCCCACAGGATTCACTTCCTGTCTTAATTTCTCACCTGCCAGGACAGCCTCAGCACCAGCTTTATTGCTATAGATTTCTAGTTGATCCTTCACACCACCAAAGAGTTCCAGCTAATGAGTAGGAGAAAGGGAACCCCAGGGGCTTTTTCAGGCCTTAGGATGCTCAGAATCCATATTCCGGGCTTCACTTTGATATCGTTGCCAGACAATAAAAGCTCACATTGGCCTTTCAAATAATTCTGCTTTGAGGTTAAGTATGTCTGGACATTCATTTGGAACATTTCATCTACTGAATTTTTCTTCATGGAAATTTGTTAAGAGGTCCTGCCTTTCTATTTTCATGACAGAGACTATCAATCAAAGTGACTTCTTCTTGATTATCAGAGAGCCCTATGAACATATTAGAGAAATCTTTAATTACTATTAAATGCCTGCCAAACATGGGCACAGGAAAAAATCACTCAGTCAATCAAAGTAGAAGCTTGGTGTGGACTCTGAATTTTAATGAGAAGACAGAGCAGAGTTGTAAAGGGAATCTTAGGTAGGAAAGTGAATATGTAGAGAAAAACGTCCAAAATCGTACTGAAAACTGAGAAAAGCAGGACTAGAACAGAAAAGTCAATAACATAAATGATTAAGTAATATAACAAAAATTAATGTTAATTCTATACAACAGATCAAGTAACTAGAACTTTGATTTTCTCTTGTAATCAGTGCATATGTCACAGACAAGACCAAAATCTTCATTCATTTTCAAGTCCTTTTCATCCCACAGAATTCTTCTAAATTTTATCCTCTATTGGGTAACATATGGAGATCCAAAGCTTTGGCCAAAGCCATGGGGGAATCAGCGATCTTTATCTTGCACATGTAGCTATAGGATGGCAAGTGTGAAGGGGCACAACAGAGCAGTGGGAGTTGGGAGATGTGAGAATGGTCATGGCTGCAGATACTTAGATTTGCCAACACCAAAGTGAGGTAGCTGGTGACAAATATGGTGGAGATGTGACTACTTATGAGACTTCTGAATGTCCTCAAAGTCAATGGCTACTCAAAAGGAAGAGATTAGGGCATGTGCTGACCCTTCAGAAGGACATTAGCCATAGTCCTGCAGCAATGTCCTGGATGCCTCTGCTGGGACCAGAATTAGGCCCTTTGTGTCTGTACCATGGAGAGGTCTGGGCATGCTGGGGGAAGGCAGGGCAGTCAGGGCTGTGAGAAGCATGAGAGTTTCAGTAGCTTCCTATCAACTGTGAGGAAAAAGTTTCAATATGTTAACAACCTCTTCAGATGAACCAGTACATACAGGCTGATTTTCATTCCTGCCAAATTTCTCTTTTCTTGATGTTAATTCATAATGCTTGTTATGGTTTTGCTGTATCCCACCCAAATCTCACCTTGAATTTTACTAATCCCCACATGTCAAGAGTGGGGCCAGGTGGAGAAAATTGAATCATGAGAGTGGTTTCCCCCATACTGTTCTTGTGGTAGTGAATAAGTCTCATGAAATCTGATGGTTTTATAAAGGGCAGTTCCTCTGCACAAGCTCTCTTGCCTGCCACCATGTAAGACGTGCCTTTGTCCTTTGCCTTTCTCCATGATTGTGAGGCCTCCCCAGCTATGTGGAACTGTGAGTCCATTAATCCTCTTTTTCTTTATAAATTACCCAGTCTCTGGTATGTCTTTATTAGCAGCATGAGAACAGAGCAATATAGAGCTGCAGAAAATTTCTCTTTTATCTTTTCTTCTTAAGTTAGGTAATGGGAGAAAGAATTGAGAATTTTAAGAGCAGCAAACATTGGGAGGCAATATTTTTTCTCTTCCAACTCTACATTCCTAGTAAAAATACAACATGAGTACTGCAACAACAGTACCATCATTCCTAACCAACTGCATAACTAATCTTTCACAACCAACTGGTGAAGTTCTACCTGTGTTGTGTCACCAGTATTTTGTGAGGATGTGGAGAAACAAATATACTCATAACCCAACTCTTTTGGTTGGGTTTTTAGACTGAATATTAATTCTGCTGTTATATTAGATATGTTACCTGCTTCAGTTTTCTTAAATGCTAAGAAATATCATCTTCACTGTGTTTGGGAATGGAAATTCATTGTATTTGGGAAGGTAAATTGACACATTTGATATGCTCAACCTTTCTTAAATTCTGTTTCTGAGAAAGATTCTTCCAAGCATACCAGGGGCTAAAGATTGAAGTGTGTTCACCATAAAGGCCATAGATTGTCTTTCGCTGGAAGTCTTTAAACATAAATTAGAAAACTCCAGATGGAAGAAAGATTTAAATGTAAAATCATGAAAACATAGAAGGACTAGAAAAAAATCTATAGTTATATTTTACTATAATCATAGAGTGAGGAAAGCTTTTCTAAACATAACAAAAAACCATGACAAGATAATAAATACAGCAACATGGAGATTATAAATTTCTATGCAACAAAATGTGACGTAATATGCCGTAAATGAAGTTGAACATAAGCTAGCAAAACTGCAACACAGATTAAAGACAAAAGACTGGTTTACCTCATCTACAAAGGGGTCTTATAAATCAATAATAAATATGGTACAAGCACCACAATTGAAAAATGGCAAGAGACATAAGCTAGAAATTCTTGGAAGAAACGTAACATCACTATAATGTCACTAAAAGTGAAAAGGTTTCCAATTTCACTAATAGTTAGAAATATTTAAACTAAACAATAAGGAGATACAATTCTTCACCTCTCAGATTGACCATTCTTGAAGCTTGTGTCACCAGTATTTTGTGAGGATGTGGAGAAACAAATATACTCATAAACTTCTGGTTTGAATATAAATTGGTATAACATTTTGGAGAATAACTTGGTAATATGAACTACAGTTTTAAGTGTGTGTATACTTTCTCACCTCAAGTATTTCTATAAATTCCCCTCCTAGAATTTATCTTATAGAAATACTTGTTCAAGTTTTAAAAAATGAACATTATATCTTTGTTAAGAAGATTACAAATAAGAAATAATTCAAATATCCACCAGTAAGAAGCAGACTGTGTAAATCACATTTTTTCAGTTCAATGGGAAATTATGCAGTGAAGAAAAAGAAGGCCATTTCTATATTGTTTATCGTTTTCATAACTTGTTTGTATTAATTTAAAACTACTATCAATAACAAGGTAGATGGTGATGAAGACAGATTATAAATTACATAATTAGATAGAATTCTCTGATTATATAATTTAAGTATAATTCCACTACATTCATTCATTCATTTATTTATTCAACAAGTATTTTTGAATACCTATTCTGTACAGTGTACAGTGCTCCATTAGAAGAAAATTGTATAAATAGCTTTTCAAGTTTCCTAGTCAATTTTCCTTGTCAAATACAGTGAAAATGGTGTTTCTTAGTATTTAGTTTTCCTCACTCCAAGATTATAATAAAGTATGACTATGTATTTTTTTCTAGTCCTTCTATGTTTTCAGGATTTTACATTTAAATCTTTGTTCCATCTGGAGTTTTTCAATTTATAGCTAAAGACTTCCAGAGAAAGGCAATGTATGGCGTTTGTGGTGAACGCAGTTCAATCTTTAGCCTTTAGAATGCTTAGAGGAATCTTTCTTAGAAACATAGAAGTTAAAGCTAAAGAAATAATCTTAGTTATAGTAAAAATAAGGAAACGGTGACCTTGAGAATTTAATAGGCACAGCGACTTGCTGGCACAGCAGAAAATAGGACCCCAGTCTCTGATTCCTAGCTTGGGAAACTTTCTCTTATGTTATGTTAACATTTAAAATATTTAAATAAATTCTTCAGGCCAAAGCACAAGTGCGTCCTTCTTGTTTTTTCTCTTTGGTGTTTTATATCTTTATATATACTTTAGTTTTTGCATGTCCATAAAAACCATGATGATATTAATTTCTATTTAGCCATTTTTTTCTTCACATTAAATGAATGGGTACAGATATACATTTGAGAACTGTGTAGAAGTGCAAGGAACAAGAGTGTCGGGGGGAAGAAATTTAGAATTTCAGAACTGTGTGCTCATGAAAACTCTTAGTCACGTCTGACTGTAATCATTCAGGTTTTTTTTTTTTTGAGTTTACAATTTCAATTTATTATGAAAATATTTCCATCTGATGACAAACCTGAAAAGACAGGAGACATGGAGCTACACAGATGCAGTTTTGCCCTTTTATCAGAGCCACTCTTAGGGACAGATTTTACTTTGAAAATCCAATTTGAAAAACCGCAAGTATTTTACATCTTTAGACAACTGTCCAATCGCAATTTTTACCCTAAAGTTTGTGCTTAAAGCTTTTCATCAATATGATTTATAAGTTTTAAAAGTCTCAAATTTTTATCTGTATATCATGTTACAGATCTTGATTCACAACTGTTTATCTTGGTCTGAAACATCAATGTTCATTGATTACCTATAATAATAGTTACTCATAAATGTAATCATTAAATATAAAAATTATTATTTTTACATATATGTAAATCTCTTAAAAAGACCAAGTTTTGAGAGATAAAGCAAGAAATTGCAGGAAGGCTTAAGAATCTCAGTATCAGTCAAAGCAGGTACAACAAAAAACAATTTTAGACATTCATTTTTGCTCTAAGAGTGCTTAAAATAAATGATCACAGAATGAATAACTGATGTATGGCAAAATGAGTTTAAAATTATATAAGCTCCAAGGTCCCAATGTGTATAAGAATTCATTCAGTTTTGGAAAATATCAGTGATCCTTTAGGAAGCAGCAAAAAACTTGTTCAAATGAATATTTTAAATCATTGGTCATTTGAGCTATGCATCTATGTCGCTTCCTCATTTGAGGAAGGAGAAAGTGGACACTAAAGTACAATGTTTGCATTCACTAAATCATACATTCAATTGCAGAGTAACAGAAAGCTTCAGAATTCAGTGTTAAATGGGTTATTTTGTTAGAATCAATATTCCATTTTTGCTAGTTTTGTGCGTATACAGGCACAAATATATTATAAATCTGTACATGTCTCTAAATCTGTTTGCTCACCTATTTTGCCCTTTCCTTTCACTCTCTGTGAAACTCCCCATCCTGTGCTGCTTGTCCAGGGCTTTGGCCATCTGCTTTCCTTTGCTCTGTGATAGTTATGCCTTCTTGGCTTTGGCCTTCCTGCTTGATTTCCGACCCTGTGTTTGCCTGAATCTCCGGGAGCTGTGAGGCTCTGCCTTCCATGTGTCTGCCTGATTCCTAACTCACTGCTTCTGCCTGCCCTTTGACACACTGTGCAGTCCTTTTGGACTCTTGCCTGCCTGCCTGCCTTATTGCTAACTCACTGTTGAGCTTCGAACATTTCAGCTTCAGTGAATTCCTGGATCTCCCAGTTTCAGATTATCAGCATCCCTACCCTTGGCATTTCTATCTTAGTCTACAATTCTAGCACTAATGTCTAGGACTCAAGACCACTTCTTTTGCTTTCATTGATTGCAGAGGAGAGTATATGAGTTCAACTTTACCAACCTTACTAAGGCATGAGAACTTTTTAAGGGAGTGGGGACAAATCACACACAAGGGAGCAAGTTCACAGGAGTACCTTCGAGTCATTCCTTTAGTTAGGCATAGACTTTAGATGCGTTAGTATGACTCTTCTGGGTTTCTTTTGCTTATTTTTTTTCTTAATTCTTGAAAGCATTGTCCTTTAAAAATTTTTTTTATGCTAGTTTTTCCTGAAATTCCAGAATGACTTATTTTTTTTTAGATCGCATTCCAACCTCCTAGAGATGTCTTCTTGGTACCAGGTCAAAACATTTCTTTTTGAATCCATTTGCCTCATGCGTCTGGTGTGTGAGCGTTGTGTCCACACAAACATCTCTGAAAAATCTGGGTTCCCTCTGCACTTTTCAGTAGCCTGAGGTACGACCCCAAATTTTAGTTATACATCATGGTTTTACCAGCCCTTTGACCTCAATTCTCATTTCATCCTTTCTAAAAGTCGCAAGTCCTTAAGGGCTCTGGGTTTCTGGATAATTTTGGTCATAACATTATAAACTTCTTAATATGATGGAGTTTCCAGATATCCAGGCATTCCAGCTAACCAAAAAACCTTCTTTTGCTTCTCATATGCTACATACTCTTTGTTGTGATGTTACTTAATGTCTCTGAACCTTATTTTCTTCATCTATAAAGTGATAACAATGGCAACAACAAAATGACAATGTGTACTGAGCACTCCATAAACAATAGCTTTTATTATTATGTTTGCTGTCTCCATGATTATTACTTTTTTAAAGAGATGAGCCAAATCTTGACTGAGCTAATTTGTTTTTGTATAACATGCATAATGTGTGTCTTTTCTTCTAGTAAAATAGTTCATCCAAAATGAATCATACACATGACATAAAAACTGCAGAGGAAGGAAAACTTAAAAATCACTGCTCTTGAATAAGGTGTTGTAAATGGATAGTAATTGTATACTGCCTGTTACTGTTTATTTTAGGTGTGTAAAATACAATTGCCATCCTATTTGTGTATTGGGTTGTTTTTAGTGAATGTAAGATTGTTTTATTTTAACGGGTTTCCTCGTAAGTTTAGTTCCCTCATCCCAATTTCCTTTAAGGCTGAAGTTTTCAGACTTCTTTCCCAGCTCATGGAGGCCTTTCCCTCTGTCTCTTGCACTTATTGTTTTAGGATCCTGGCCCCTCCCACCCCCGCCTCATACATGAATTTTCCAATCACAGGGGTTTTCAGAGCCATTCAGTTAATCCCAGAGGCCACCCTGTAACTGAGGTGATATGGGAAACAGAGTCTAGTCTTGGGGAGCTGGGAAGCCAGGCTGGTAGGGGGAAGAGGGTTATAGTTGCTGAGTTACTCATTCTGTTATTGATCCCAGAGGAGAACTGGCTGGAAGCCAAGGCAGAAGTCAAGTCAGGCAGAGCTGTTTAAACCTCACACATAATGAGCCTGAAATAGAGTACTGCAGCTGGGGGCAGGGGGGTTAGATTCCTTCCAGGCTGACTTCTCACCAGGAATGGGGCAGCAGCCTTTATCCAGACATTCACTTAGTGGAGCTGAAGATCCTCGACTAGAGCTGACTGGTTACAAGTCTGTGCAGAATGAAGTTTGCAGGTAGAACAGCAAGAACAAAGCTCTTCAGAGCTCGTTTTCAGTCTTGCTCTATTTAGTATCTTGGATGAGTATTTTCTCTGTGTTTTAATTTTCCCACATGGTAATAGGTTTAACCATCCCTATCTCATATGAAATTAAATTTGGTAGCATTGTGATTAAATTTGGTAATGCATGCAAAATACTTAGGACAGTGATTGACGTATATACTCAATAAATGGTAGATATTATTATTGTCATTGTTATTTTAATTGTCATTTATGATTGAAGCTGGAGGGCCATGCAGAGACAAGTAAGAAACCATACACAATGACTTTTAGGAATGAGGTTTTGTCACTCACACTCTATTGAAAATTATTTATGGTGGCATTTTGGCCTTTAGAAGTAAAACTTTTCTGAGATGAGGTAAACAGTGCCCTTATCAATATTTCTCAGAGAACCTTTCTAAGTTTTTACATTACATCTAGTCCCTACAACCTCAATGATGTTGGCAAAGAACATATAAGGTAGGAATATTATATAAGGGGCTTCTGGCTTTTCAAGTTAATAAAAAGCATTTATATTTGAGCTCATTTGATTCTGGACCTAGATAGGAGTTCTACCTGGCAGATATGAGGTTTGAGCATTGCAGAGCAAATGAGGAGAAAGTACAATTAACCTTAAGATTCCTTTAGTATCTGCTACACATCTATAATTTCCTTCTCTTTTATTCAGCATTAATTGAGAGAATGGGATATGATATGCCAGGTCTGTGAGAAACTGAGTCTGCCCTCAAGGATCTTATACCCTTGTAGGAAGAGAAGATATGTACAACTATATAAAAAATATTACCTCTGCCCTCCACCCACTAGTATGGCTAGAGTTCAAGTGGTGGACATGAATAGAAGACTTTTGCCAGGAATACAGAAATCTAATGGAGTATTTTGTTGGGCTATAGACAAAGGATGTTGGGGCCAATATTATAATTACTCTCTCTATATTTATGTTTATTTAGGACTGAAACAGGAGGGCCAGGCAGAGACAGGCAAGAAAGTGATATAGTTATGACATTCAAAGTGAAGACATCGTCCATGCAATTTCTCTGGTGGATAACATACAGGGGGAAAGCAACCAACGGTGACGCTGAGGGTAATCCTGTCCAAGCAGACTCCTTGCTGAGTCTGTCTCCTGCTTGAGAAGACTGGATAGAATATCAGTCACATAGCATCAGGAGTGTGCGATTGTAGAGACAGTGCTAACTAGCTGGCTGGCAGAGAACCATGGAGGCCAGAGGCAGCAGGCCTTTGGAGAGATCTGGAAGGGCCTGCTCTGTGGTGTCAAATGCATGAGATGAACTCGTCTTTTTCTGTCTGTGAATCTTTAAATGAAACTGACACTCATTACCAGTGTTTTTGGAGTTGGGTGTTTGTGGGGGAGCTGGAAGGGTAGATAGGAGAAGTCTAGATTTACTGAGTCCAGCCTCAGGTGAATGTGGAATGCAAGTTGAGGCTTCCCAAGGATGCTGGGACACATTTGGATTATAATGCAACATAGTTCGTAATATTATTCAATATTCATAGTAAAGTGTGGAATTGATAAGTATCATAAAAGTAGTACAGAGTAAACATTATCAGAGGTCTGAGTAGTGAAAGCTTACCTCCAGCCTAGGGATGGAGACAGGAAGGATAAAGGAGGAAGAAAGCTTTGCAAAAAGTGTTAACTGAATTGGACTTTGGGAGATGGTGTGGGGGATGCTGTGCCTAGTTCCCCAGCATCTACCTCAGATGATTTGTCCGATTGTGGTGATTTCATGCCCTTTGTCAGGGATTGGTTCCAAGATGGATAAGCCCATGATAATTTGGACAAATAAGTTGGGTAAAGTGGCTCGGGGCTTCTGGGAGGAAGAAGCAACTCTCTTTCTCTTACTGGATGGGAACAAAGAAGCATTTAGCCTTAATTGCTACTGAAAATGCTCCTGCAACCACAAGGAAAATCAATCTTCCCAGGAATCTATTCTCCAACAATAATCCTCTCCACACGCCTCTCCATTGGCCCTGGCTGTATAGCATCTAAAACTAATGTACAATAAACATTTTTGTGTCATTTTGAAGTTTTTAGTTATTCTCATTTTCTAATGGTGTTTTTTTTTTTTTTGAGACAGAGTTTTGTTCTTGTTGCCCAGGCTGGAGTGCAATGGCATGATCGCGGCTTACTGCAACCTCTGCCTCCTGGGTTCAAGCAATTCTTCTGCCTCAGTCTCCCGAGTAGCTGGGATTACAGGCATGTGTCACCACGCCTGGCTAGTTTTGTATTTTTAGTAGAGGCAGTTTCTCTGTGTTGGTCAGGCTGGTCTCGAACTCCCGATCTCAGGTGATCCATCCACCTCAGCCTCCCAAAGTGCTGGAATTACAGGCGTGAGACACCGCACCCTTCCTAGTTATTCTCACTTTCATAGTGTTTTTTATTATGCTTATCAAATTTGAACATGATAGGAAAAATCAGTTATTTGTTGTTGGATCACTTTCATTAATGGTTACTTAATTTTGATGTGCTTTGAGAAACTGGTGTATCAGTAGCTGTGTTTGAACTTCCATTGCAGTTTTCTTAGTCTACTACTTTCTGCTACAGCGAGATGCTGTGGGAAGAGCTTTGGAGAGAGTTACCTATGGCTTTGCATTCTGACTTTTCATCGACTTTTGAATATCAATTTCTTTTATTATACCTCAACAATTTTTTTTTGTTAAACGAAATGAACTTTTGCTCACGTTCTAATGTTACCGTATTCCGCAACGTCTTGACCTATTATTCTAGGTCTCTACTGAAACAATGACCTCTCTTCCAGGATTGTCAGGGAGAGATGACTCTGAGAAAAGTCTATGATGCTACTGGTTGAACAGTTATTACTTTGGTGCCATGGACGAATTTCATTTGGAATGTTTGATTATACCCTATTAAAATTTACACAAATTTTAAAAAATTAATCATGTTCAAGTGGTTATGTAATTCTTCCTTCTTATTTCTTGTTTTATGAAATGGTTTTCAGCTGGTTGGAATATAAGTTCAGTGAAGAAAGCTTGGAGCATAGTTGGCTCTCAATAAATGCTTGTTGTATGAATGAATGAATTACCCAGCACTATTACATACCTATTTGAGAACTATATTTTTTCATGTTGGAAAGAATGATTTATTCACCGTATTTTATTATTTTTGTTCATTGGATTTAAATGTTCATTGGAAATTTATTTTCTAGATGGTAAAACAGTTATATGAAGTCTAAGTATTTCAAATTAAATTTTGTAGCCTTTTGTTTATTAAATTTTAAAATAAATTTAGAATTTGAAAGCAATACTATAATCTATACATACAGAATATCTTCTTTGTTAAGAAGAGGCAGATGAATATCTTGGTTTAAGCAATACTGTCCATTTTGATGAGCTTATTTTTTGATGTTTTAGTGTAGAACAAAATAAAAAGTAGAAAACAATTTTAAATTCTGCTTACCATGCTTAATCTGGATAATCTTAATGGCTGCTGTTGCCAACCTGATGCTAAGATTCAAAGGACTCAAAGATGAGAAAACTATCAATTTAGCAAAATGAAGATTGTCCTTTACTTGTCCTACCAATTGACAAAAAAATAGAGAACCAAAAAAGAAAAAAAAGAGAGAAAATAAAAAGAATGTGCCCCCCACCCCAGTTCCCAATGGCAAGTTGACCGAAACAAAAATATATGAAATAATAAATGTCTCTGGATACCTGGATTTACATTCTCTTTTCCTTGCTATAAATAAATGGCTGCTGTAAGTTAGAGCAGGTGTAAATGACTGTGACTCACTGTATGTATGGTGAAGACGTGTGTCTTGATGGGAAACAAGGGACAAGGAACATAATGAGATTCATCTGAGGGGGATTTGGGACTTAACTCCTCTTCATGTTGGAGTGAAACCAGATTCATAGCAGTAGAAGGACTCTATAAACATAATTCACTGAAATGAGAGGGTGATAAAAAGGTCCTTTTTCTTGCCTTTTGCAGGGATAAATTACACCTGAAGCTACAGAAATGTTCTTTTCTAGTTTCAGATTAAGTGTGCTTGTATAATAAACATTTCTGTAACACTTGGCTTCTTTAACCTCGACAGCTCAATTAGGGCTGTGCGATAAAATACAACTTCTATGCACTTTGTGAACACTTAATGTGACTGAGGGCCTGTTAGCAAGAAATCTCACAGAAAATAGGTCTTGACAAGTATTCGAGGAAATTGAATTGGCATTGTGTTTAATGAATATATATATATATATATACACACACACACATACATATATGCATATACATATGTATATTCTTTAAAACTCTGTGTATTCTGATTATAATGATATATGTGAGTCTCCTTTTTTGTGTGAAAATCTCTTATTCATTATCTTTGCTATTGGCTGGAAAACCATGAGGAAATTTGGGAAAGTTGTTATATGTAGGTACAGATGTTTAAAGAAGTCAGGAACTCTCATGATTCACAGAGTATGGAAAAGTCTTAATTCTAATCTCTAAATTGCTGTGAATTGGAGGTAGACCCAGTGAGCCCCTTGACTTGGAGTTATATTGCTTAGTACATTTGCATATTTCTTTTCTGGAGGAGGGTAAATATTAGGGCTCTTGCGGGATTGGTTGAGAACACAACCTCAGGTAGATGAGCAGTCTGTGCATAGCGCTGTGCACGGGAGACATCTGACAACCTGTCGGAATCACTCACTACACGTTAACATTAGAAACCGCTTCCAGATAGCCTTTGTATGGTACTATCATGGTGTCATAAATTTTGTCATGATTGTCTACCAAATAAGGCTTCAATTTCTTAGACTGGCTTTCAAATACCTCTGAGACCAGCCTTATTTTCAATTTAACCCCTTTTATAGTTGGATTTTCATTTTGCCTAAGGTGTATAGAATTCCCAGTTCCAGGGAAGGGGCTTTCATGTGATTCATCGATTCAGATGGAACTTACCTTTTACTATACCGCTTCATGCCCCCAGTTTTCAGGACAGGCTGCGGTCTTTAGTGTGCTTTGTTCACTCCACATGTTTCTCCACCTTTTTCTTGTCATTCCCTCTGTGATCTCTACCAAGCTCTGTCTTTCTGGTTGTTTAAAGCCCTGTGGGTGGACCTGTCAAGTAGACCCTCCCTAGGAAGCCTTTTCTGATCCCCCAGCTGGGGGAGTCTCCCTCTGCACTCCTTTATTGCTTCATTTTTAGTTCTTTTATGACACATCAATTTCTGTTTATATTACTGTTATTTATAGACCTGTCTCTTCTCCCTTAAGGGCAGAGTGAGCAACTGATTCTCCGTCAGGGTTGGGACTAGCGCTTTTATATTCAGCTCTTATTTTTCCATTTTTATCGAGCATATTTGTGAACAGGGCCCAGCTTTCTGACAACACCAACAATAGTGTTTAAAAAATACATAAATGTCATGTGTACATATAATATATGCAAGTGTCTATAATAATGTTGTAGGGAGGACCCAAGCCATGAAGAATGGAATATAAAAACACAGTTTGATTTGTAGAGAAAAAGGATCGTAGTGTCTTCCTGGAAAAAAAAAAAAAAAAGGAAAATTGTGATTTCTAGCTTAAAGGGGAAACCTTACTGACTAAACACAGAAAGAAAGTTTGGGGAACATCAAAAGGTGAAAAGATTAATTTTTAATGTTAACAGGATGTCTCTCGAAGGGGATAATTCAGATGTCAGTTGCACGTTTTCTTTACTAGACTGGTTTATTGTCATGGTGAGGAGGAGATGGGGAAAAGCGCCTGAGCTTTTCAAAGGGCTTGTTTATGAGGGTTCAGATCAAACAAGATAAGTGGGACTACCGGGAATTCTTTATTTGCACTTCTAATTGTTTCCTTAAATGTGACCATAAAAATTCATTCAGAAAACTGCAACAGATTTAAGGAGATAAAATAAGACCTCAGATGGCTGTTAGTAATACAAATAACTTCAAGTGTTTTTGCAAATTGCATGTCAGCCGCAATTAACAATATGATGTTTATTTTGGTGCGGATGGATACCCTCGGTAAGCAGTCTCTTTCAGTATATCAACGCTTCCTTTTATAATGTTGTCGTAATTGAAACATTTTGTCTTGCATAAGACAGATGGGTGCGCAGCAAGTGTTCGCGACACAACCATTTATGCCGATAGAGTTTGCAGACACCAGCTCCACCTTGGCCTGTGTGCAATGGCTGCTCCCTTGTGGAGGGGACCAACGCAAACATCGGAGCTTGGATCATAATCGCCATACACTAACATTTTGCCAGATTGCAGCAATTTTGGCATTGCCTAATTCACATGCAGTGCGATTGTGGGGAGGTTTTGAACAAATATTGATTTGTGAGAAGCAGATGAGTGTCATAATTCCCATTTTTAGTATTTCCTTTTCTCACTCAGTGTAAAAATTGTCTACCCTCTTGAGAAGAAGTAAATAAGGTATGGAAATGTTGCTCCACTGTGTGAGAAGCTAGACAAATATTTTCTTTTCTACCGCAGAATGTTTTCTGCTGCTTGTCAAAATTTCTTGTGTGCTCTGTGATTCTACACTGGTACACCGCAGCAGTGCCTGCTTTGTGACAGCACTGAGCTTGCACTGGGTATTGATAAAAGCAATATTTGGAGACTTATTGAAGTAGATTTAAACCAATTAGTCCGGTTATTAATCTGCCATCCTTCTCCTCTTGCCCTGCCATTGCAATGTTAACCATAAACTACGACTGAACCAGCAACATCCTTTCTCTGATGAGGGATGGCTTAATGAGAATGATTTTATCTCTTCTAGGGTGTTTTTTTGGTGCTCACACTCAATCATCTTGATGGCTTTGTTTTTATCATAAACATCAAATGGCATTATATTGGGAACATTATGTAACAATTAACCATATTTTAATTTGTCTGACAATTATGGAGACATAGTGCTGTCATGGAAATGGACTGTCTCACTGCCATATTAAAGACTCTGAGTGGTATATCTTTTTGGTGCAAGACTTATAAACACATTCTGCTTCCATCAGTTAAGAAGGGTTTTGGCTGCAAACAATAGACAACACTAATACCGTGTTTGAACATATTTTGTCATTCTTAGTATAGAGAGTTACAGAAACTTTGGTTGGGATTTGGTTGCTGCACTTCCAGGATCCCGTCTGGGTCCCAGGCAGGAAAAGAGGAAGGGAGAAGCAAAGATCAGTGTCTGCAGAAGAAATCATCTCTTTCCAGAATTCTCATTTCATACCTTGTTAACCACTTAGATACTCCTAGCTGCAGTGGAATCTGGGGAAATACTGCACCAAGTCAGAGGTTGATTCTGCATCAAATGAAGAATGGATAATGAGATTTAGAGTCGATTAAAGTCATACTGTTTAAATATGATTTTAAAATAAGATGGTTGAATGCTTGTTGACAGTTGCTTTTCTATGTTGTAGAATTGACTCTGCTGGGCTGAATATTCCTGAGGACTGGGGCTGGGTTGAGGAGAGTTGGAGAGAGCTGGAAAACTGGAACAGATTGATATTTTTAGTTCTCAGGTCAGTTAGCTTAAAAGTCAAGGAAGCAGAGAGTAAAGTCCTCTGGTGACTGAAATATGACTCCTCGCTTTTTTTCATCAGTCTTTTGCTTTTATGCAGTCTAGCCTTATCCTTGATATGGGGAAGCTTATAAAAATTGCTACTCCATTGCTCATGACCTGCCCTATGAAGACAAATATTTTAAGAAGATAGATAGTGTTCAGGTAAGAAAAGCCTAGACTAACATCTCCTGTATGAGAAAGAAAAAGAAAGGAGAATATACAGAGAACAAACATGAAGTGCTGGCAAATATGATCTGCCAAGGAACTCATGTTAGTAAACCTTTGCCTGGTTTTATTTTCAATGTTTATGATTTTGCTAAGATTACAGAGTCCTTAATATTAAGGTAGTATATCCCCAAGTAGTTTCTAAGGGAAAGGCAGGTAAGTGATCAGTTGCTTTATATGAAAGTCATTCATTGACGTCAGACTAGATTTTCACAGTTAATTTTATATTCTGACAGTTACATAAATTAATCCAGTAAATCCAACAATGCCTACCAAGATTTGTCTGGATTTGTCATGAACATTAAAATGTCATCAGCATACATGGTAATTTATACTCCCTCTGATTAACAGTAATCCTTCTCATCTCCTGTGAGGATCTAATAACCAGAGCTAATGGCTTTAATGCTAAAATAAACAGCAGAGGATCTGAGCAACACCTCTGCTCTGTAGCTTTTGGAAATGGTCTTGTGTGTGCAGAATATTTGTGTGTGTGTGTTTTTTAAAGAATATCAACAGCTGATTCTTATTCCAAACCAGTGTTTCAATATATCATAAAACACATTATTTTATTAGGCAAGTTTCATCTTGTATTCAGTAACATGGCAATTAGGGTTAGTATGGTAAACATTTAGAATGCCCATAGCTCCTCAAATAAATCCATGACGGTAATCTTGACACGTAATGTTTTAAGCCACTATTAACTAAATTACTAGTTTTGTCACTATAACATGGAGATAGCAATAGTGATGGGGCTACCACCAGCTTTTACAGGCCTATGTATGAAATAATAATAATAATAATAATAATAATAAAATGGGCTGGGCGCGGTGGCTCACGCCTGTAATCCCAGCACTTTGGGAGGCCGAGGCGGGCGGATCACGAGGTCAGGAGATCGAGACCATCCTGGCTAAAACGGTGAAACCCCGTCTCTACTAAAAATACAAAAAATTAGCCGGGCGTAGTGGCGGGCGCCTGTAGTCCCAGCTACTTGGGAGGCTGAGGCAGGAGAATGGCGTGAACCCGGGAGGCGGAGCTTGCAGTGAGCCGAGATCCCGCCACTGCACTCCAGCCTGGGCGACAGAGCGAGACTCCGTCTCAAAAAAAAAAAAAAAAAAAAAAAAAAAAAATAATAAAATGCCCCCAGTTAGATAGAGCTGGTGTCACTCAGGGTGGCAAGCAAAACTTACAGTGCCTTTGAGTTTCTGACTTTACCCCCTAAGTGAGGTACCCTTGTGCAGGGCACAAACCACACACCAATATGAATCTGCCCTCAATGATAAGATTCTACTTAAAAAGAACAAATGGCATACCTTTAGAAGAGTTTCTAGTGGGTGACACATCTGGATAACCACACTGAACAGACAATATTGTGTGATGATTATCAGTTAATTATCTGTTTATTTGCTATGTAAAAACCATATAGATATTTTGATTTTGGAAAAGGTATACAGGTTCCTTTTCCTTTTTTTTGGAACTATACCAAATAAATGAATAAATATTAACTCTTTATCAGTTATACAGACACTTTCCATATATACAATTCCATTTATTATTTACAACAAACCTAAGCTTGTTGTAAATAGATGATGGAGCCTGAGTTGAGCGAGGTGTGCCGGGCTAACTAGCAGGCCTGGGCTCCTCAAATCCTTCTATTCAACTGTTATAAGAAGGGAAGGGCTACCAAAGACTAGCTTTTGCATGCCTCTAGGGAGATGACCTCTCAGTCCTTGGACTATCCTCCCTGATAAGACAGTCTTTGAATGACTGCCTTGGTTCACCAGATAGTTAATGCCAACAGTGTGATTTCTGGTGAATAGCTCTTTTTGCATGCCTGAAGATTTGGGACACTCTGTATCCAAATTTACCCCTGGGAGGCTGTATTACATCCCCGTGTAATTGACTCCCAATAAAATCCCTAGATGCCAAGGCTCGGGTGAGTTTCCCGTCTTATAACACTTCACATATGTTGTCACAGATCACTGCTGAGAGAATTAAGCACTGTTCTTATAACTCCACTGGGGAGAGGGCAAAGGGAAGCTTGTGCCTGGTTTCTTTTGGGTTCCTCCCTATGCATTTTTCCCTTTGTTGATTTTAATTTGTAGTCTTTCACTGTAATATGTCATTGATATGGTTTGGCTCTGTGTTCCCATCCAAATCTCATGCTGAATTGTAATTCCCAATGTTGGGGGAAGGACCTGGTGGGAGGTGATTTGATCATGGGGATGGATTTCTCCCTTGCTGTTCTCCTGATAGTGAGTGATTTTTGAGATCTGATGATTTAGCAGTGTGTGACACTTCCCCCTTGGCTCTCTCTCCTGCTCCACCATGATAAAATGTGCCTGGTTCCCCTTCACTTTCACCATAATTCTAAGTGTCCTGAGGCCTCCTAGCCATGGGCTTCCTGTACAGCCTGCAGAACTGTGAGTCAATTAAACCTCTTTTCTTCATAAATTACCCAGTCTGTTAGTTCTTTATAGCAGTGTGAAAATGGAATAATACATAAAATTGGTATCAGAGAGGTGGGGCATTGCTATAAAGATACCTGAAAATGTGGAAATGACTTTGGAAATCGGTAATGGGCAGAGGTTGGAATAGTTTGGAGGGCTCAGAAGAAGACAGGAAGATGAGGAAAAGTTTGGAACTTCCTAGAGACTTGTTGAATGGTTGTGACCATTCTGATGCTGATAGTGATATGGACAGTGAAGTCTAGGCTGAGGAGGTTTCAGATGGGGATGAGGAACTTATTGGGAACTGGAGTAAAGGTCATTCTTGCTATGTTTTAGTGAAGAGACTGGTGGCATTGTGCCCCTGCTCTACAGATCTGTGGAACTTTGAACTTAAGAGAGGTAATTTAAGGTATCCAGCAGAAGAAATCTCTAAGCAGCAAAGAATTCAAGATGTAGATTGGCTGCTTCTAAAAGCCTATACTCATCTGCATAAACAAAGAGATGATCTGAAATAGAAACATATTTAAAAGGAAAGCAGAGCATAAAAGTTTGAAAAATTTGCAGCCTGACCATGTGGTAGAAAAGAAAAACCCATTTTCTCAGGAGGAACTCAAGCCAGTTGCAGACATTTGCATAAATAAAGAAGAACCAAACCTTAATAGACAAGACAATGGGGAAAATGCCTCCAGGGCATTTCAGAGATCTTCACAGCAGCCCCTCCCATCACAGGCTAGGTCTAGGAGGGAAAAATGGTTTTGTGGGCCAGGCCCAGGGCTCTTGGGACATGGCACCCTGCATCCCAGCTGCTCCAATGGCTAAAAGGGGCAAGAGTATAGCTTGGGCTGTGGCTTCAGAGGTTGCAAACCCCAAGCCTTGGCAGCTTCCATGTGGTGTTGGGCCTGCAGATACACATAGGGCAAGAGTTGAGGTTTGGGTAGATACCTAGATTTCAGAGGATATATGGAAACACCTGGATTTCCAGGCAGAAGTCTGCTGCAGGGGCAGAGCCCTCATGGAGAACCTCCACTAGGGCAGTGTAGGGGGAATATGTGGGGTTAGAGTCTCCACACTGAGTAACTCCCCACTGGGGTACTGCCTAGTGGAGCTGTGAGAAGAGGGCCACCGTCCTTCAGACCCCAGAGTGGTAAATTCACTGATAGCTGACACTGTGCACCTGGAAAAGCTGCAGGAACTCCATGCCAGCCATGAAACCAGCCACAAGAGCTGTACCCTGCAAAGCCACAGGGGTGCAGCTGCCCAAGGCCTTGGGAGCCCACTTCTTGCATCAGCGTGCCCTTTATGTGAGACATGAAGTCAAAGGCAATTATTTTGGAGCTTTAAGATTTAATGACTGCCCTGCTGGGTTTCGGACTTGTGTGGGCCCTGTAGATTCTTTGTTTTGGCCAATTTCTTTTATTTGGAATGGCAGCATTTACCAAATGCCTGTACTTCCACTGTATCTTGGAAGTAACTAACTCATTTTTAATTTGACAGGCTCATAGGTGGAAGGGAATTGCCTTGCCTCAGATCAGACTTTGGACTTGGACTTTTGAGTTAATACTGGAATGAATTAAAACTTTGGGGGATTGTTGGGGATGCATGGTTGGTTTTGAAATGTGAGAAGGAAAATGAGATTTGAGAGGGGCCAGGGCCAAAATGATGTGGTTTGGCTCTGTGTCCCCACCGAAATCTCATGTTGAATTTTAACTCCCAATGTTGGGGGAGGCACTTTGTGAGATGTGATTGGATCATGGGGGCAGATTTCCCCCTTGCTGTTCTCATGATAGTGAGTGAGTTCTCAGAAGATCTGATGGTTCAAAAGTGTATGACACTTCCCCCTTCACTCTTTTTCTCTCCTGCACCAATGTGGTAAGATGTGCTGGCTTCCCCTTTGCCTTCCATCATGACTGTAAGTTTTCCAAGACCTCCAAGCTATGCTTTCTGTACAGCCTGTGGAACTGTGAGTCAAACCTCTTTTATTTAATTTTATAAATTACCTAGTCTCAGGTAGTTCTTTATAGCAGTGTAAGAACAGACTAATGCAGTCATATTGAGTATAACAGTTTTTCTGTTATATTAGCAAATCCTTCTATTAATAGTAAATTACTGAAACTGAGGATGGTCTTGGGGATCCTTGACACCAGAGGTTATGTGATTTGCTTTGATCATGCAGAAAATTGTGGCAGATCCAGGATTTGAACAGATACTTTTGGCTCTGAATCAAATTTTTTTCTTTTTCCTCAATTATCTGTTAGAAACTCAATATCACCCCTTTCTATGCTCTCTCTTCTATCTTCAGTGAGGAGCATTTCTATAATATATAGAAGGTAGATGAGAAAAAGATACCATATTATATTTGTTCCTCTGGAATGGCAGGAAGATGCATGGGCCTTAGCAGACATGAAATTTTGCAGTGACTTTCAGGCTTTTTCCTACAGGTCACCTATCTTTTTGCTGGAGGTGCATCACCTTACTGTTTGTATTTCCCTACAGTTTCTAACTTTCTCAGAGCTAAGAGCAAAGCCTAAGAGCAAAGTTAGAAAGTGTATTTCCCTACACTTTCTAACTTTCTCAGAGCTAAGAGCAAAGCCTAGATCTATGAGTGGGTGGCCATTCCTGATATTTATTCTTTCAGCATTTCCAGTGGTTTAGTAGTTATCTATTTCCCTGTGTAAAATATATTCCAATTTGAAATACCTAGATTGTATCTGTGTTCCTGACTGAACACTGATTGAGACAGAAAATATTTGGTACCAGAAGAGGCTCCAGGGAACAAACCACAAGCTAGAATTGTAATCTCTGAGATCATTGAGAGAAGAAAAACAAACAATATGATCTTTGATTGCTCTGATTTTCTGCTTGGAGAAAAATTGTTGGCCACATTGCAGGGAAGGGAAACTCCAATAGAGTATAACAGTTTCATTGAGTTGAGGAGACAGAGATTGGAGTTCAGTAGGCAGAGGGAGCTGAAACATGTGAGGCAGTGTTCTGGAGAGAAGGAAAATATATACAGAAAAAGCTCCAGAATTTTGTGTGGTGATTTCCTGCAGTCTTTGCCTGAATATTAAGTTTTTTGTTCATAAAGTGAGACTCTGTGATGCTGGACAATGAAAAACTAGTAGGCAGCTCTAAGCTAAATAATTCCCAGAGTTCATATAGAGCCTGGAAGAGTTTATGTTTTGACAAATGAGAGTGGAAAGACTTTGTTGAATACACAGAGAGTTTTGTTTAAAAATGTGGTTTGAAGGATCAAGCTGCTATGATAATAATTTAGTTTCCTGTCAAAATAAAACTCCCTGTTCTTTAAAGAGAGTCTATACAATCTGGACTCTGAACTATATACTTATCATGATATTGGTATCCAGTATAAACCACTAGATATGTGAAGAATCAAGGAACTAGAGAGAAACAAGTCATTAGAAACAGACCCTGAAATAATAGAGATGATGACATTACCAAACAGGACTTTTTATTTTATTTATTGATTTAGTTAGTTATATATTTATTTATTTTACTTTAAGTTCTGGGATACGTGTACAGAATGTGCAGTTTTGTTGCATAGGTATACACGTGCCATGGTGGTTGGCTGCACCTATCAACCTGTCATCTAGTTTTTAAGCCTCACATGCATTAGGTATTTGTCCTAATAGTCTCCTTCCCCTTGCCCCCCACTCCACAACAGGCCCTGGTGTGTGATGTTCCCCTGCTTGTGTCCATGTGTTCTCATTGTTCAACTCCCACTTAGGAGTGAGAACATGTGGTGTTTGGTTTTCTGTTCCTGTGTTGGTTTGCTGAGAATGATGGCGTCCAGCTTAATCCATGTCCCTGCAAAGGACATTAACTCATTCTTTATGGCTGCATAGTATTCCATGGTTTATATGTGCTGTAGTATCTTTATCCAGTCTATCAGTGGTGGGCATTTGGGTTGGTTCCAAGTCCTTGCTATTGTAAATAGTGCTGCAGTAAACATACATGTGCATGTGTCTTTATAGTAAAATGATTTATAGTCCTTTGGGTATATACCCAGTAATGGGATTGCTGGGTCAAATGGTATTTTTGGTTCTAGATCCTTGAGGATCACCACACTGTTTTCCACAATGGTTGAACTAATTTACACTCCCACCAACATTGTAAAAGTGTTCCTATTTCTCCACAGCCTTGCCCGTTATCTGTTGAGCAAACAGGAATTTTAAAACAACTGTTATAAATATGTGAAAAGATTTAAAGGAAAACATAAACTTTATTCAAAAATAAATGGAAGCTATAAAAAAAGCAAGTAAAATTTCTAGGGCTAAAATACAATATAAAAGTAAAATAAAATAATTCCTGGTGGGCCTAAAAGGAGAGTAGACACTGCTGAAGAACAGATAAGTAAATTTGAAGAGATTACAATCCAGGCAGAGGCACAGGAAATAGAGTTGAAAAAAGTGAATAAAACCCTAATGGCCTTTGAGACAACATAAAGCAGTATGAAATATTGAATCAGATATCAGAAAGGGATCAGAAAGCATATTTAAAGAAATTATAGCCAAAAATGTTTTATATTTGGTGAAACTATACATTCACATAGCCAAGAAACTCAATGAACATAAGGCAGGGCCAGAAAGAAAGAAAACAAACACTATCCTAAAGTACATTATAATTAAATTTCTGGAGACTAGTGATAAAAGAAAATCTTAGGCAGGTCATGATGGCTGATGCCTGTAATCCCAGAACTTTGGGAGGCCAAGGCGGGCAGATCACTTAAGGTCAGGAGTTCGAGACTAGCCTGGCCAACATGGTGAAACCCTGTCTCTACTAAAAATACAAACATTAGTTGGCATGGTGGCAGGTGCTTGTAATCCCAGCTACTTGGGAGGCTGAGGCACGAGAATCACTTGAGCCCAGGATGTGGAGGCTGTGGAGCCAAAATTGCACCACTGCACTCCAGCCTAGGTGACAGAGCAAGACTCTGTCTAAAAAAAAAAAAAAGAAAACACACACACACACACACACAACAAAAACAAAAAACAAGGAAATCTTTAAGTACCTAGAGAATAAAGAACTTATTACTTGCAGGAAAACAAAGATAGAAAAGACCTGCCATTTCTCACTGGAAGCAACATTTGCTGGAAAACTATGAAATGACATTTTTAAATTGTTGAAAGTAAAAGAAAAGTGTGTAAATGTAGGATTTTCTATGATAAATTGTTCTTCAAGATGGAAAGAATTCAAATAATTTTCAGTGAGGCAAGTTGAAAAATTTTGTTCTAATAGATCAGCAATAACAAGAAAAGTTAATGAAATTTTTTTGTAAAGTATATGAAAAATTTTTATTATTTTCCATTTTTTTTTCTAAAAGATAATGACTCCCAAGGACAATATGTAATAACAATAAGGCATTTATAAGGTATTTAGAAATAACCAAAATAGCCAAAAAATAAAGAGATAGGGAGGGAATGGACCTTATATTATGTATGAAATGGTGTAATCTTATTGGAAGGTAGACTGTAATGTATTAAAGATCGATATTATAAAATCTACAGTAACTACCAAAAAAAGGAGATATAACTATTTGGCAATCAAGGAGATAAACTGAAAAATTAAAAAACTAATCAATCCAAAAGAATGAAGAAAAAGAGTAGCAAAATAAAAACTCAAAAATCATATGGGATACATAGAAAGCACATAGCAAGGTGATAGATTAATACCCAAATATAATAAGATATATCTCACATAAATTAGTTTAAACATGCAGTGAAAAAGCAGAGATTTCCAGAGTAGGGGGAAAAAACAAGACACAAGTAGCTTTAAAGTAAATGAATGGAAAGAGATATATGATGCAAACAGTAATATTAGAAAGCAGAAGTGCACATATTAATATCAGGAAAAATAGACTTTAGGGCTAGGAATATATAGAGAGATGAAGTAAAATATTTCATAATGATAAAATATGCATAAATGAGATGCATAATTCTTTATGTGTTTTTATCAGTTACAGAGCTTCAAAACACATGAAGCAAAAACTGACAGAACTGAAAAGAAAAATTGATACATACAAATTATAATTGGTGATTTTAGTATTTCTTCTCAGTAATGGATAGACCAGTAAATTACTTTGAATATAGAAAAGTTAAAAAACAACGCCAACTAATTTTACCTAATTGATGTTTTTTGAAAATTATTACCCACAATGGCAGACTACACATTCTTTTCAGACACAAATGGAACATTCAGTAATATAGTATTTGTAGTAATATAGTAGTATATAATATATGTAGTAATATAGTAATATGATGGGAAGTAAAATAAGTGTCAATAAATATAAAAGGCTCAGAACTATATAGAAAATAATACTTGGTCAAAATAGAACAGATTAGTGGCCAACAAGAGAAAGATACCTTTAATGTTCCAAAATATTTGGAAATTAAACAACACATTTCTGAATAAGCCATGGGTCAAAATAGAAATCATGAGAAAAATTAGAATATATTTTGAACTGAATGAAATGAAAACATGTTAAAATTAGTGAGATACAGCTAAATCACTGCGTTGAATCAGAGGTGGAAATTTATAGCTTAAAATGCTTATATTAGAGAAGAAGAAATGTTAAAATCAATCATCTAGCATTTTTACCCCAAGTATTAATATGTAGAAGGAAGAAAATAATACAGTAATAATACAGCAAAAATAAAAGGAGACAAAAAATAGACAAAATCAATGAAACCAAACACTGTTTTTTTGAAAAGATTAATAAAATCAATAAACCTTTAGTTAGACTGACCAAGAAAAAAGAAAATACAAATTATTGATAACAGAAATGAAATTGCATGAGTGGATACTACTACAGATCCCACAGAATATAAAGTCCAATAAAGAATGTTATGTACATCTTTATGCCAATAAATTAAATAACCTAACAAATTCTGTGAACAAAATACAAGTACTAAACTGTCTCAGAAGTAGAAGAAATGGAAAATCCAAATTGCCCTATACCTGTTAAAAATTGTATTCATTAACATAGAAACAGAAAACCTGACACTGCATGTTCTCCCTTACATGTGGGAGCTAAACATTGAATACTCATGGACATAAAAATGGGAATAATAGACAGTGGGGACTACTAGAGGGGAAAGGAGGGGTGAAAGGATTGATAAACTACCTGTTGGGTACTATGCTCACTACTGGGGTGACTAGATCAATTGTACCCAAAACCTCAGCATCACACAATATACCCAGGTAACAAACTTGCATATGTACCTCCTGAATATAAAATATAAGCTGAAATGTAAAAAGAATTACGATGTAACAACAACAAAACAAATGGAATTCATAGTGAAAATTTTTTTCCCCAAAGAGAAATCAAGAGAGATTGCTTTAAGGGAAGTTCTATTAAATATTTGTCAAGGAAATAAAATCAATCTTACATTAACTTTTTCAGAAATTAGAAGAGGAAACACCTCCTAGCTCACTTTATGATAATGCTAGTCTTATTCTGATACAAAAGCTAGAAAACACATTATAGGAAAATTGAATAAAAAATAATTATCCCCGTGAATATAGATAAAAAATTTCCAACAAAATAATGCAAATCAAACCCAGAAATTTAGAGAAGTGATAATAAGTTATGATGAAGTGGAGCTTATCCCAGTAGTGCAAGATTGATTCACAATTTTAAAAAATCAATGCAATTTATCACATTAATAGAGAAAAGGAGAAAACACATATGGTCATCTTGATAGATGCAGAAAAATACTTCAACCATCATACCTAATCAAGCTCCCAGTAACACAGGAACTAAAGGAGACTTTCTCAATGGATTGAAAGAAACCTATGAAAACCTACAGCTGTTAGCTGTTAACATGGTGTTACCATGTTTAATAGTAAAAGACTGAATGCATTACCACCAAAAACCAGGAACATGTTAAGGATGTTCGCTCTTACTGTCACTTTAACATTGTAATAGAGGATCTAGAACTTAGCACTAAGGTTAGGAAAAGTAATCACAACCATGCGGATTGGAAAGAAGTGATTTTTTTTTCTGTATTCACAGATGACATAATAGTGAATTAGAAATTTTAAAGATATCTGTTGGAAAGCTGCTAGAATGAATAAGGTCTGAGAATATAAAGCCAATATACAAATCAGTTGTACTTTTATAAGTAACAAAAAATTGGAAATGGGGATTAAAAATATCATCTATAATGGCATCAAAATATGAGATATCTAGGGATAACTTTAACACAATATGTGCAAGACTTGTACACTGAGAACTATAGGACAGGGATGCCCAGTTTACCACTGCTATTCAATATTGTACTAGACATTGCCTGTTGTGCTGGGTAGTGAGCACTAACTGCAGAGCAATTAGTAGGAGAAAGAAAAGGCAACCAAACTGTAAAGAAAATATGCAAACATATTTCTGTTAATGGATAGCATGATTATATATGAAGAAATAAATATCTCACTAAAAATTATTCACTAGAGTTAATAAGTAATGTCAGCAAAGTCGCAGGGCGCAATACAAAAAATAAGTTACATTTCTATAGGCTAGCAATAAACAATACAAAAAGGAACTTAGAAAAATTCCATTTTCAATAACATCGAGAAGAATAAAACACTTTAGAATACATTTAAACAAGGAGATGCAAGATTTATACACCAAAAACTAAAAAAGTAATTATTGAAATAAAGAAAGCTTTAATAAATGGAAAGGCATCCTTTGCTCATGGGTTGGAAGACTTACTATGGTTAAAATTGCAATACTCCCCAAAGTGATCCACAGATTCAGTTCAGTCCTTATCAAAATTTCAATGGCCTTTTTTTTTTTTTTTTCCAGAAGTGGAAAGGCTGATTCTAAAATTTGTATGGAATTGCAGGGCATCCCAAATAGATTTCCTTAGTAATCTGATCCAAAGATGCCTTGGTCCTCTCATCCCACAGAACATTCTGCTGGTATGCTACATTGATGACATTATGCTTATTAGACCTGGGAAACAGGAAGCAGGAAAACTTAAATGCCTTAGATACCCTGATAAAATTTCAAGGGATCTGCATATGGTTCAAAATTCTAGAGTTTTAGTAGTCTGAGAATGTTGTAATGTCCTGTTCAAAGTGAAAGGCAAGTTGCTTTGTCTTGTATCCCTCACTACTAAGAAAAAACAGACTCTCATTTGGATTAGGGAGGAAATATATACCATATCTGAGTAGCCAATTTTTGACTTACTGATAAGGATATCAGTTTTGAGTGGTGCCAATAGTAAAAGAAGTTTTTAGAGATTCTTCAGGATATTATGTAAGCCGTTCTACCATGTTAGCCTGGTGACCTATGGGATTCAATCAGTTAAAATATCTGCAGCAGTTATGTATGTTCTATGGCATCATCTGCAATCCCAACATAATTGCATTTCAAATCCTTAATGGTCTGAAACAAAGCTATGCCCTTTTCACAAATAATTATTCTCTTTTTGAGAAAAATCTCGGTTGGATATTGGACCCTGACCAAAGAACAAGTGACCTGTGACCAAAGCTGCTGTCATGAACTGGGTGTTACCTGAACCACCAAGCAATAACATTGAGATATGCAACAACATTCTATAATCAAGTAAGAATTTATTTATATGATATCAGTCTCGAGAAGGCCCTAAAAACATATGAGTTGCATGAGTAGGTACTTACACTACTCATGGCACTTACTCCCGCTGCCTTGACATCTCTTCCCCAACCTACACCTGTGTTTCATAGGGAGTACCCTATGATGATCTAATTTAGGAAGAAGAACATTCAGGTCTGGTTTACCAATGATTCTGCATGATATCCAGGCACCTGCCAGAATTCAATGCTGCAACATTATAATTTAACTTAAGAGCGGCTTGGAAGGACAGTGGGGAAGAAAAATCCTGCCAGTGGTAGAACATCAAGCAGTATATCTAGTTATCCTAGGTGTCTGGCAAAAGACGCAGACAGAAAAAAAGATCTACGTGGATTAAAGAGAAGAAGTTAACAGTTTAGCCAAATGGTTAAAGACCTGGAAACCACAGAACTGGAAAATCAATCACGAGGAGTTGTGGAGAGGAAATATGTGGTTGTAGACCCAGACTGTGAGAATATTTGTGCCTCATGTGAATGCTCCAAAGCACACTCACTGCAGAGGGGTTCAGTAATCAGGAGGGCAAGATGATCTGTTTTGTGGAACAGCAAGCTTCTTTTCCTACCAGTTCTTGTGCTTGCTCTATAGGATCATGAACAAGGTGGACATAACGACATAGAAGGAGACTATGCATGCTCAGAAGGATATTTTTTTCCCACTGAGACTAATCTGGTTACTTGCACTGCTAAATGGGCAACATGCCAACAGCAGAAACCAGGGTTAAGCCCCAGATGTGCCACCATTCCCCATGGGAATCAGCTAGCTACACTGTGGCAGGTTGTTTACATTGGACTTCTTTTGTCATTGAAGAATCAGTGATTTATTCTAACTGAAACATTGTCTTTTTTGTCTACAGCATTTTTGATATTTTCATGCGTGGAGGTGGAGCATATATGTTGATCCAGTGATTAAGATATGGTGCCATTTTCTCCATAGCCAGAACACATGCATGTGAGAATCAAGGTGTGGAAGTGGCTCTATTTTGCTATTACTCCTTGTAACTCACATACAAAATTTGTCTTCTTGTCTCTACATATTTGGGCTCTGGTACTTGAGTGGTCTTAGTTCTCAAAGGAGAAATGTTTCCAAAAGGGAACCCAACATTGATTCCATGGACCTGGAATTTGAGATTGCTCTAGCCACCTTGGAATGCTCATGCCAATCAGCTAACAAGCAAATAAGGTTGTCATTGTATTGAATGGATGGCTGATCTTGATTAAAGAGTAGTATTAATATGTTGGAACTTCTTGACTAAGCACTTTAGCTGTTTGGGGGTCTTAAGCTCATAGGGTGACTCAAACCTGTACTCTTTAAAATATGAGCCATTAGTGGTCCTACCTACATTGAGCTGCTTTAATCTTTCAGTAAGCTTTACCACTGGCTGTTCTATTAGGGAAGATGAAAAATTATGTAAGTAGAACATAAAAATATAATTATAAAATATGTTAAATGTTGTAAGAGGAGCATAATAGGGAGACCAAATTTAGATCAAGGGATCAGGAAAGGACTCTGAAAAAACACAATCTAAGATGAAATCTTAATGATATATATGAACTAGCATATAGAGAGGAAGAATAGAGGACAGGGCATTCCAGGGAGAATGAAAAGCAAGTTTCTCTTGGTTGCGGGATTGTGTGGACTGATGTAGCTGTAATGTGTGTGCTAGAGCAACAGTGGTAGTAGAGGGGGCTGGAGAAGGAGGCAAAGGCCAGGTCACGCAGAGCCTTGCATGTGGTGGTAAGGAGTTTGAACCTGTTTTATTATCTGCTGGAAGACATTGATGGGTTTAAAGTAAAGGTATAACAAAATGCAATTTATGTTTTATAAAGATATTTGCTGCCGAAAATGGAGATTGGGTTAGAGATGAAAAGAATAGATGAAAAGAGATTAATTATGAGAATATTGCAATAATCCAACTAAGAGATAATGGTGCCTTCAACTAAGGTAATAACAGAGAATATGGAGAAAAAGGACAAGTGGATGGATCTGAAACATATTTTTAGATAGAATTAACAAGACTTGGTGATGAATTAGATGCTGAGGATGAGGAAGAGGAAGTAATTAAGGACAGCTCCCAAACTTATGGCATGAAAAACTGGATAAACAGAAGGATCATTTACTGAGATGTGGTGACAGAAAGCCAAGTAGTTTTATGGGAAAGATTGGGTTAACTTTTGTGCGGTTGTTTTTGACATACTTGGTGAGATATCAAGTACAGATATGTAGTAGACATTTGGATCTATGGATTCTAGTCTGCTTTATTGATTTAAGGTCATTGGCAAAAATGAATTTTGAATTCCTGAGAATGAAAGAGGTCAGCTAGGGAGACCAAACTGGAAAAGAAGCTAAGTGGACCTAGAACAGAACATTGTAGAACTCCAACGCTGTGAGGAAAAGAAGCCAGCAAAGACAATTGGAGTGAACAGTTTTACCAATTGAATAATAACTCCAGTTATATTATACAACTTATGTTAGCAAATTATAAGTATACAGCATATTATACTTAATTATCAAAGTTTTATAATCTATTATTACATATAATTATACAACTACTATATAATTATATAACTATATAATTAGCAATACTGTTGATTCAGACTAACATACTGTATGTGTTAAGTATTCTTGCCAGTGTAATTGTTCCTTTAATAGTTAAGAGCTTTTTAAGAGTTAAAAGCCCTGATGTGGAGTCAGAAACTTTAGTTCAAATTCTACCTTTGCCACTTAGTGTCTATGTGATTTTGCAAGTTGGTTAACCTCTTTAAAACTCAGTTTCATTGTATGTAAAATAGATATACTGATACCTCATCTGAGGAGCTAGGGTCTAATATCTACAAACCACACTGACAGGTACAAAAAATAGTTTATTATTGTTATTGTCATGGTTAGTGTTGTTACCTTTAGAATATTGTGGCTGCTCAAGTTTCTCTTCTATTCCCAGAGAATCGCTCTATTGTTGTCCTCTTCTCAGTCCTGACATCTTTTGTCTGGACTTCAGCAATAACAGCTTGCCCACATCACTGTGTACTTCTTTCTTTTCTTCTTATAGTAGCCTTCTTAAAACACATTGAATCACTTTAGTCCTCTGTTTAAAATTATCACTGGCTTTCATTTTCACTTTGAATAACACCCAGACTCTTTGCTGTGGTCCAGCAGGCTTTGCATTATGTAGTCCCTGTCCAACTCTCACCCATGCTTTATGCCTCCTTCCTTCTTGCTCAGGACTGTAGCCACACTGCCTTTTGGATATTGCACCAGGGCCTTTGATTTTGCCCTGCTCTATGTCTGGAATATAGTTTTTCCTTCCTTTTTTGTGTGGCAGATTCAACTCATTTTAATCATTCAGTCTTAGCTCAGAAAACATCTCTGGCCACTCCACATCCTGAGTTACTCTCTACCTTGTCATCTCAATTACTCATTTACTTATCTCTGCACTCTAATGTGAACTTCATCAGGTCTGGAATTGTCTTAGTCCACTGGGGCTTCTATAAAAAAATGCCACTGACTGAGTGGCTTATAAACAACAGAAACTTTTCACAGCTTTGAAGGCTGGGAAGTTTATGATCAAGGCACCAGCAGATTCAGTGTCTACTGAGGTTCCACTTCCTGGTTTATAGAACGGTGACTTTTCACTGTGTCTTCACATGGTAGAAGGGGCAAAAATATCTTCTTCGAGCCCATTTTATAAGGGTGCTAATAACATGCATGACAACACTGTCATCTCCTAAAGGCCCCACCACTTAATACCACTACCTCGGAGGTTAGGATTTTAACATATGAATTTTGGGGGTGCATAAACGTTCAGATCATAGCAGGGATTTCATTTGTCATGTTCACCACTATATCCCCAAATTAGGCATAATGCCTGGCACATATTAGGACCTTAGTAACTACTTTCTTGAGTATATAAATGACTATTGCCATGTCTTGGAATCTCTGAGGATGAGGACTCTGTTTTGTTAACTGTATTGCTAGCATCTAACACATTGGCCAGCACATAGAACTACTCAAAACACATCTGCTGAATGAACAAATGCATGAATAAATAAATGAATCAACTAATCAAAAGTGATTCTCCAATCTTAACATCTCCAATAGTCAAGACTACATTTTTTTATCACAAAAATGAATATGTTAACATATTGGAAAATAAAATCAAAGCAAGAAATACTTAAATCACTGCGTCAAAGATGTAAAATTTGAAATCAGCATGCCCTAACTATGAGATTTTCATGGACAGAGAAAGCTTTTGCTCTTTCTACCACCGTCTTCCAGCTCCTGACACACAATCATATCTAGAATTTTCTCCTTTAGCTGTAAGTAAAGAAGAAATATGACTATTATCACAGCACAGCCTTAGAAACATTTTCTCCAAAAACACCTTCGCACCAGTAGCTTCTGAGCAATAAGGAAATATATTGACCCACATTTCTGAGCAGTGTATTTTCTTCCTTCTCACCTGTGACTGTCATTCAAATATTGTGGTCCTTTCACAGACTGGATAAACTGAAAAGGAAAGTTAATCAAAGAGCTCTCAGCTGGAACACTTGACTTGCTACATATATCCCACACTTAATGGGGATTAGGTTATTTTAAAAATAAATCACTAGTGTGAAAGAAAAAGTCCAACTTAAAAGAACACACAAGTGTACAGATCTAAAGTCTCTTCACAATTCGTGCTTTCTGACATCTCTTGGGACTATTGTAACCCATATTTCTTGGCTTGACATAATAGAAGGGCAAAATCTCATGTGTGAGAATTTATATTGCACCCATCTCAGGTGCACAGTTTCTTTCCACTCGAAGTTCAGGTGTACTCTGGGATTTCTTTGACTTAAAAGTCTTGAGTGTGTTAAAACTTTAGAGCTGCTGCTGGTATTTTAGGATTTTCTGAGATTTACGTCTCTGATTCTAGACGCTGTGTCTAAAGATTTCCTCCTTGTTGGGAGAAGAACACCTAGTCCCAGACCTCCCTGCAGTGACAGGTTTGTTCTGAGGATTAATGATAATGTTTAAAAAATACAGAGTTCTGTAGATGAAATATGCTTCTTTGGTTCAAAACATTAGCGATCCAGTGGAGTCTTTTCAGTTATAAAAATAGAATCAAATATGTTTACCAGAACAGTGCTTCCAGTGTGAATGCTACATTTTTATGTATCTAACATAGACATAACTTATTAAAATCTTACAAATGCAGTTGGATGAAAATGATGCACTTGAAATTTAATAACATTTAATTTACCAAGTACTGCATCACAGTCCTGGCATAAAAGACTTCAAATTCTGTTTGGTAGATTTAGCAACAGAACTATAGTAATATAACTGAATCTTCTAGATAATTTAGTCCTCTCATATCACTCTGTCCTCCTGGTGGAAATTGCCTCCTTCCTTGGCAATTTTTTTACTTGACTTTAAGACCAATCTATATGATAATAACCGCCCGAAGTCTTCAACTTGACACACCCTTTCTGTGCCTTACCTGTGCTCTTTTAATTTATAACTGCTGGGTTTTCTGCATCGATTCAACACTTTATATCACAAGTACCACAGAAGATTGCATTTCTTTAGACTCTGAAAATTAAGGCTTTTTTTAATGTTTAGCAAAGCATCATGTATGCAAACAGGGAAGTTATTAGCATCTTTCTGACTATAAATTAGGCACAGCTGGAGGCTATATCAATTTCCTTAGGCTAATTAATATAGTGAAGCTGTAATTTGCTAATGATGCTGGGCTTTGTCCACTGTTGAATAGGCTTAGTGTAAAATATTCTAGAACCATTTTGATCATATTCTACATATTGCTTTTAGGATGCAGTAGATTTTTTTGGTCTGAAAGAACTTGAGCACTTTTTAAAGTGTGAAATATTTTTGGAGATACTGTGCTCTAGGAGAGTCAGGCTGTATAAGTACTGTATTGATGAACATGTTGGTCATTTGATAAGAAAAAATATATATAAATAAACATTAAAGAATGCAAATATACATAAAAAAGTTAGTACCTAACAAAAAGTTGTCATCTTTCATGGAATTAAGCCAAAAGCAAAATAAAAATCTCATTTCAATTCTTTAAAAAAGATAGTCCATAGTTGATTTGTTTTAGATGTTGATTTAACAAGGTCCTCTTTGGTTAGATTTTAATAAAATGTTTGTATTGTGCCTGTAAAATAGTTTATATCATTGAATATTATACTTAATAATATTATCAAATATTTATTGAGTTTCTTGAATAATTCTTGGCATATAGTAAGCATTAAACAAATAAGTCTTGAATTCATTAAATTATATTGAATAAAATTAATTTTTAATATAGAAAGATAGCAGTAAAGTGTGTTTAGAGCTCAATGCAAGCAATGCATATAAAATTAAACCCCAGCTAGTCTGTTTATTCTAGACCATATCTTATTCAGAACAGTTGTGTTTTGAATGCAAATATCTATTTTTTCTATTCCTTGAGCCTTATAGGTCAGTGTAACACATGTATGGAGAATGAATTTAGGAGCTAGAGTTAAGGACTTCTAGATGCATGGCCACAGTGCCAGGTTTAATAGTCACAGGAGCTGGCAAAACCCCTGGGTGGAAGACTCCTCAGAAACCTAACATCCTTCTTTTCCCTGGGGTTTCTCAGAATGCCTTTCATAGAATTTGAAGTCCACCTGAGTTGTTCCATGGAGAAAAAACTGAAAAGATTCTATGTCCAAATAATTTTGGAAATATTATCTACTATAGCTCTCTCCTGGTGAGTCATAATACACATTAGCATATTAAAGCTCTAAGTGCCGAAAATAACATTTACCACATTTCTTGAAATATATTTGACTTTTTTTCAATAAGTCTCCTTAATATACCAAGAACCTAATGTTCTCTTCAGCATATTTTGGGCAATGCTGTCTTAAGGTGCTATCAATAATTTACATTGATTCTGTAATCAAGATGAAGCAAAATAAAACATGAAGATTTGGGATATTTAAAAAGTTGGAAGGAGTGTCCGTAAAGGAGGAAAAATAAACAGAACAGGAAGCTGTGGGGGTGAGGAAGCCCAACTTCGTCATTGATCAAGTGGTAATCTGCTACTTGATTTTAGCATTACAAGTAGTAATCTGCTACTTATAACTGATAAGCACCATACGTAAATACTAAGAATCGCTTTGTCATTTATAGTGATTCAGAAATGAAATTCATTTGCAAAGAGGGTTAGGATAGTTTATTTTGTAACACAAATTAAATCTAACTGGAGATTCAAACAATGAAGAAAAAGCACAAAATCATAACACTGGGAGAGGCCTTGAAATACTCTGTTCCATCTTTATTCCAACTCAGAAGCTCTCTAAAATAAAACAATTAAATTACTTTGTTGATACGTTTTCCCAGTTTTCATAACTATTATGTCAGGAAATTCTAATCCCCAATCCAAATCACTTCAATTAAAATTCAAGCCTGTTATACCAGTCTATTTTCACTTACTGAAATTTTGTCATCCTTCATCTAATTTCTTTAAGCCCTGTTCTTTCTTAGAGAGACTTAAAACGTGTTTTTAAGTTTGACTTCTGCCACAGAGAAAATGGCAGGATTATTGTCTTCATTTCTGACTGCAGTGTTTTCAGAGACTCCCACACAAAACAAGAGAAAACTATACAGAAGTGCCTATTTGCTGGAAAGAGAACAAAAGAGACTTTTCAGTAATGAATTTGAGAAAGAACTGGGATTTCTCTGCATATGGCACCTGGAAACACAAAAGTAGTTATGTGAGGATAAGTTATTGATTTAATAACTGCCCTGGTAAATAAAATTAGGCACCATGTGGATTTCTCAATTCTCTTTTAAGTCAAGTCTCTGGTTTAAAAAGAGGGACTTTGTTGGTGTCAGGTGGTGCTTCAAGGACAGTAAAAGCGCCTTGGAAAGCAGGTGCAGGTGCTCAGAAGGGATTCCGGATTGTGACTCTGCTCCCAGAGTGCTTTTGAACACCATGCAGAATGTATTCATCTACTTTCAGTTCAATAATTAATGTCACTATTCCTACAGCTACTCTTAGAATAACAAACACAGGCAACTCAAGACTTTAAAGAGATTTCAGTTAAAATGCTTTATTTCATAGCGTATTTTGGCCTTGATGGGAATATTGTTATAAGTCTTATACTGACATAAAGTGGAGATACTTTTTAAATTTTTCTGGGGAATTTTTGTGACCTCCGCAAAAGGAGATACAGTAGACTCTTTGGGAGAATATTTTATTAAATTTTTATTTATTATAAAAAGGAGAGCAAAGCATTCAAATGATTGGCACAACACTATGGAACAGAGCTCTAATTGGAAGCAAGGTGATTCTTTGCACTTGACATGGAAGACAACTTTTGCCTTCAGAATTCTAGAGTTGTTTCAGGCACAGCTTGGTGCCCTTGAAAAGGAGTTAAGTTCAGAATCTCACCTGAATTCTAAGGAAATTCTGAAATTGAAGCAGCTTCATGGAGAAAAGAACACACACACACACACACACATACATGCACCATCGGTCTTATTTTTCTAGGGTTTTGAAGAACATCCTGTTGTGGCTGCTGTTGTGGAGAGAAGAGCTGCCTCTGGAATGTTTCTCCGGAGGTCTACTTTTGGGAGTCTCTGGCTCAATGTTGGCTGTTTCTTACCATCTTCTCAAATGTGTTTTCTTTTATATATAAAGGATATTTTACTTCATATACAAAGGGATGTAGTCTTCAGATGTGGTATGTGTTGGACAGAATTTTCTACAACTTATCAAATTTGTTACCATATTATTAAATTTATTTTTATATTTTATATACAAAAATGAACTTTAGCACTGTAATTATTCTTGTAAGTTGATTTTTAATGTATTTGTCCTTGATTCATTGATGCACATGATCTTGTTCTGAAAAAGACCTTTGAGATCATGTGCTCTAAACTCCTGTTTTTCACCACTGTGGTAAAGTTATTTATTTGTTTCAGGTCACATGATAGGTAATGGAAAGAGTGGCCATTAGAATTCAGACAACCTAAAATCACATGTGGTCACAAACTGTTGGAATGACTATTTTTAACCCAAGAAACAATTTTAAAATTTACTGATTCTAAATCTGCAGTACAGTGTTGGGCACATGGTGAGGTTTTATCCAATATTTGTAGAATTGAATGAATAAATAATACTGAATTAAATTATGATTTATGTGTACTTGTTTTATTTAGTATTCTAAATCTCTACCTATTTATTTTTCTGCATAAATTATACTTACTTTTGTCTGCATGAAATTTATAAATTTAACCTCTTCTGCATGGAGACAAAGGAGTCAATCATAGTCTTCTCCATGGTTCAAGTAAATAATTTCTCAAATGTCCATTTGGCTACACATATCCATTTATAAGTACAGAAACCAGCCCTGTTTGAGTTGGCAATAATATCTTTTACACATTTGGGGGTGTCTATTTGCAAATAGAAAGGTGAAAAGTTATCCAAATCCCAGCTAGTTTTTTGATACCTAAAATTTTGTGTAGTTTTGCATCATCCTTTTTACATGCCTCGCAAATAAAGAATATAAAAAAGCCAGTTTGTAATCAGAAGTTTGTTTCTTCAAAAAGTTTATAAAGGCATTTTTTTTTCTGTTAAGTAATTATAGTCTAACACTGATATGGCAAAGTCACCAGTAGGAGACCAATGACATTTGGGATTTAGATAGGCCTCTTTTGTCATTAACAAACATTTGTTATAAAGAATGGAAAGATTTATTTTAGTGGTCTATTTGCATGGGAATCCTATATATCCATCATAGATACATCATTTGTTATTTAAATAAAACCTAGCTGAACAGATACAGGTAACAGGGTGGAATCATCCATCTTTGTGTTTGTGTCTTTATGAGGACATTTATACATGCAGTAACAGAGACGGATAGTTAAAGGTGTATTGATGTCAATAATATTTTAATGGAACATAATGTTTTTCAAACTTTGTATTATGCCTAATTCTTTTTATAAATTATTTTAATTGACATAATTTTACCTATTTATGGGGTTACAGTATGATATTTTGATACATCTATACAATGTATAATGATCAAATCAAGGTAAGTAGCATATCCATCACCTCAAACATTCATCATTTCTTTGTGCTGGGAACATTAAAAATCTTCTCTTCTAGCTATTTGAAAATATGCAATAAATTATTGTTTACTGTAGTCATCCTACAGTGCTATAGAACATTAGAATTCATTCCTCCTATCTAGCTGTAATTTTGTGTTCGCTGACCAACCTCTCTCTGTTCTTTCCTTCTCCCTACCCTTCCCAGTCATGCCTGATTCTTAAAATCTTGGTGCTAGGTGTCACGATTGTTCATTAAATAATCCACTTCTATTGCTCTTTGCTTTTAAATCTCAAAAATGCCATAATTACCTTCTCTCTCAAAACTGCACTTATTGTCTTTCAGATCCCTTCTTTATGACCTCTTTAGCATTGTCAATTTCAAAACTGAGATGCACCATCCTGTGTTTAATTTGCTGTAACTCAGTTGGTATGAATACTATTACTGCTTTTAGGTCCTTTATACCTTACTCTGCTATTCTCTCTCATTTTCACATAAACTGGTGTTCAGGCTCTGAAATAGATCCTGTTATGTGGAAAGAGTCAATTAATTCACACTTTGATCTAATAACATAGGCTCCATCCTTGGACAGGATTTATGGGCGTGACAGTAAATTCTCTCACTCTATCCCAGTAGAATCCTTCCAGTTCAATAAGCTGTTAGGCATTTGGAAATCTTTTTCTCTCTATGGCTTTTCAGCCTAGCTTTCCACACTTCTGTGATATAAATTGTCCTTTTAAAAAAATCTAAAACATACTTGAGGTATTTCTGAAAATTGTTTTTAATATAGATAGTGTTTAATTGAAGATGGAGCTGTAGTTTAAGTGCATTTTCCTGCATTGTCATCAGTTGTCTAAAACAGCAGGCAGTAAACTATCTTCTTTTCAGCTAAGCACCTATTAAAGCTACTGGCTGTATTTGTTGTAATACCAGCCAGTTGAAATGAAGCCATTCCTGACCGACTTAATCATATAGACTACAATTTTGACCTACTAATTCCATGTAGTAATCTCATTGCAGTTTCCTTTTAAGAATTAGCCAGCACATCTATTTTTAATCCTCAAGTTTCTTGAGCCTCTCTGAGCGCTTAGTGGACAAAAGTACAGAACAACACAGTTCCTAATTTATAGAGAGATTGTGTTCTGAAAGGTGATTTGTAAGCCAGTTGTTTGAAATTTCCCTTAAACAATGCTATACTTGTTGCTGAGGTTCCTTTGGCAGTCTTCAGGTCATTACCTTTATCACTTACCACAACAAAATGCCTGGTTACAGAGTAAGTACTAAGAAACAATTATGGAATGAATGACTAAATGTAACACACTGTAAAATTAATCACAATGTGAGATAATTATTCCTACAAGAAAATGCTTTCAGAGCTCCACTTCGGAATGATACCAGCTACAAACTTAGACACACTAGTACACTAGAGTAAGAGCTCTTTAACAATTTTCCTCACTTGTGAATAGAAACTTCTCTGGTTCAAGTAGGTGTGTCTGCCTGGAAGCTCGTTTAAGTGATGCATGGCTTACTGTCCTCCCTTTCTTGTCTTCCACTGGTTCTTTGAATTGGTTTCCTGCTTCTCTGGCCCTTTATGTAGTTTCACATATTTTTAAACAACCACTCCTGAAATAAGGGGAACAATTTCATTTCTCAAGAGTTTTTCCCTTTCATTTTTTCTTCCTTCTTTGTGCTACCAACAAGAAAGTATACCAAATACTTAAAACAGGAGAAAACAATGCATAAAAGCCCCCTCAACTTCCTTCTTATATTTTCCTCTTTGTATTTTCTTTTCTGGTTGTTCACAAGAAGGAAGCAGAGTTTTGTATAAATTGTAAAAGAGAGAATTCTTTTTACTCTCAAAGGACAATGAAGAGATTTTTTTCTTTAGAATGTTTGTGGTTAGTCTTTCCTAGACACTTTATCAGGCTTGAGCTGGAGTCTCAGAGTAGAAGAATGGGACCAAGACTTTATGGGTCCTAAGCAGACTATCAGCTAACTTTGGTGGAATTGATGCTGATTAGAAACTACTGTGAAACTCAATGACAAGCAACAATAAGCAATTCCCTTTTTCTCCTGTATCTGAGATTTGACTGGAGCCAAGCTGATCGAGGCTGACCTTAGCAAATGGCTGGAGGTGAGGTTTAGGTTTGCTCCAGGTGTCTCTCATTCTGGGAATAGAGAGTTACTCAGGGCATGTTCTTTGCATGTTCATGGCAGAGCGTAAGAGAACAAACCCAGTTGCATAACCGCATCTCAAGCTTTGCTTGGTAATATCCCATTGGCTTAAAAGCAAGCCACAAGACCTAGCTCTAAGTGAAAGATTGAGAAGTAAACCTTTTGCCTTGCAGGAGAAACTGCAAAGTCATACAGCAAAGGGTAGATTCCAGGGAAAGTGTAGCATAGAGAACAAAAATGCAGTCTACCACCTAGGACTAGATCGAGAATGTGTGTCTGATTGAGGGAGGCTAATGATTTGCCACCTTTTAAAACCAATGTTCTTGGCCAGGCGCGATGTCTCACGCCTGTAATCCCAGCACTTTGGAAGGCTGAGGTGGGCGGATCATAAGGTCAGGAGTTCGAGACTAGCCTGACCAACGTGGTGAAACCCGTCTCTACTAAAAATACAAAAATTCACTGGGTATGGTGGTGTGCGCCTGTAATCCCAGCTACTCTGGAGGCTGAGGCAGGAGAATTGCTTGAACCTGGGAGGCGGAGGTTGCAGTGAGCTGAGATTGCGCCACAGTACTCTAGGCTGGGCGACAGAGCGAGACTCCATCTCAAACAAAAACAAAAACAAAAACAAAAAACCAGTGTTCTTTAAATACTTGTTTCGCATTTATTTAGTGGAGATGGAGAGAGATTGAACATCTATTGGAACAAATTGTGCAAAGAAAGAGTTACTCAGTATTTTACTTTTGCATGCCAAACCAGTGTCAATTTTTTTTTTAAAGAGACAAAAATAGTGTAATGGGTAAGAATGCAGGCTCTGAGCCAGATTGCCTAGGTTTAAATACCAGCTCTGTCACTTACTAACTGTGTGACCTAGGGCAAGTCATTTAACTCCAAGTTAGATATTATTAATAAACTGCTGTTTTTTCTTTAGCTTTCTTCTGTGTATGCCAAGCCAGACAACTTGTTAGGAGGTAATGAACTCAAAATTTAGTCGGTAAAATAAATTGCACTCCAATAATCCTGCATCACTCAATTTTTGGAAATTCAACTGATTGCAACTGACTTTCATCTGCCTTCATTGCAAATGTTCATTAAGAATACTCAATAGAGCTAGGTCTGCAGCAGAGAGGGTTGTTTACCTGAGGGTGCTGCATGTCTGCAATAGAGGATGAATTTAAAAACATTTATTCAAGTTATATGTTAGCATTTTATAGACTGCCTCCTCATGTAGCTATTGACATAATTTCCCCTTAATCCTCCCGGTCTCAAACAAGGGGACAGAGTTGAATCAGGATCTATGAGAGATTCTGAAACATCACTGTACATATAAGGGCATGCACTCTCTTGGGTTGGAAGGAATATGTTTACAAGCTGTTTAGAGTAGGACGTGAGATTGTAAAAGGCATATTAGAATAATCAAGCTAAATTATCCTATAAGAAATAGGGTTTGTTTAACATAAGGACTTAATTTTTTTGTGTGGGATAAGGAAATTTGGAACCAATGTTGAATTACTAGAAACAGTAGGAGAAGCTGACCATGTTCTCAAAAGAAAGCAAAGGAGAATCATGGTGGCTGCAATATCTTCTCCTCAAAATGTGGTTAAGTATTTAAATACTTTTTGTTGAAAACAACACCAAACTTTTGAGCCTTTCTGAGGCATCCATGTGTCTTGGCTTTTTATCCCCAAGTTGTGGCTTACTTTCCCCCTTTTGATGTCAGTCCTCCATGAATTGATCTTGGGACAAGGGTGCTTTAGCAAACATTTATTAAATGCTTATTATGTACTGGACATTCTCCTAGGAAATATAAAATTGTATGGATCCTATTCTTGACAAGCTCATAGTTCAGTTGTAGAGTTTATCATGTAAACTAGTTACTTCAATACAATATGACAAGTGTCTCATTTACTGAGGGGTTAGTACCTGGCTATACTAATCTATACTGTAATTTCTGCATCAATTTAATGATAACCATTTGGACAATCCACCCATATCCTAGCCAGTCAGTGCCTTGACTCTCTCATTTCCAATGATCTTGTCTTCCTTATCACCCACTTGCAGGGTCGTACTTGATGGGCCTAGGGATGCCCAGATAGCTGGTGAACATATGTGTGAGTGTGTCTGGGAGGGTGTTTCAGGAAGAGATTGGTATTTGAATTGGTGGACAGAGTAAAGAAAATTGCCCTTACCAGGGCAATTGAGTCCTTAGAGGGCTCAATTAGAACAAAATGCAGAATAAGGACAAATTCTCTCTCTTTCTTGAGCTAGGTCATTCATTTTTCTCCTGTCCTAGACATTGGAGTTCCTGGTTCTCCAGCTTTTGGATCCTGGGACTTACACCAGTGGCCTTTCCCCCTGGTTCTTGGACTGAATTACACCACCACTTTTCCTCATTCTCCAGACAATGAAACTTCTCAGCCTCCATAATCACATGAGCTAATTCCCAGGATAAATCTCTATCTATATCTCTGTCTATATCTATCTATCTCTGTCTGTCTGTCTGTCTATCTGTCTATCTATCTATCCATCCATCTGTCTATCTCTTCATCATCATCATCATCATCTCTCTAATGGTTATGTTTCTCTGAAGAGCCCTAAAAACCTTGTCTTTGGTAATAGTGATCTCACCATCAAAATATCAGTTTCAAGCATTCATGTGAAACCATCATTTCCTGTCTTTCTAGCTCACTTTCCCTAGTACTCCCACTTCAACTGTTCTTGATGCTACCAGGACCTTCAATCCATTGCCCCTCCCTTCACCACATTTTCACTATTCATTTCTTCCCACCATCACCCACCTGTGTCCTCACTTCTCTCCTTTTCTAGCTTAGAGTCAATAGCCTTTTGTCACTGTCTAGGATACATCCTTAACTCCCCAGCTTTTCTCTTACCTGACAAAACTCTATTCTGGTTAAATATAACTCTGCTTTGTCTTATGGCTAAAATCAAATAGCTGAATGTGGCTGAAAAGAAATACCCAACTATATTTATGGGTCTGATTAAATTTATTAGCAAAAATCTCAAGTGAGCATTTAGCTCTGCTAAGCAGTCCAATTATATTTCTCTAGTAAATTTATTTTCCCTCTCTCTGAGGCAACCATTTTACGATTTCTCTTTTAAAAACTTCCAGTACTTTGTATCTCAGCCTTATTTCCAGCTGATGTCAGAGTACTCAGATAGGAACTGCTTCCACTTCCCATCACCAAACCTATCTACATCTTTATTCCTGTACTCTGCTTTCCCTCTGGTTTCTGAAGATGAACTGTCCTAGCTTTTCCCCATGGCCAACACTTCACTGTGCACTGGGTCTTCCATTCCCACTTATTCACTGGGATTCTCTGCCACTGCAATATCCCATCACTCATCGGCTTCATCCTTCTCTATCGATCGGTAGATGAGTAATGAAAATGATGAAAATCTATTACACCGAGGGAGTGATCGGTAGAGAAGGAAAAATTCTTCTCTACCGATCACTCCCTCGGTGTAATAGATTTTCATCATTTAAGGAAAAACCCTTCCTTGACTTTATTCTGCCCGCCTCCTACCACTCCATTGCTCTGCTACCCTTCATAGTAAAATTCCTTGAAAATGTTGCCATATTTGCTGTGTCCATTTCTTCTCCTCACATTGTTTCATTAAAAAATGTATTTTAATTAGTATTTTCTCTCCAACCCTCCACTGAAACTGCTCTAATCATGCCCACCCCTATCCTTCAGCTTGTCAAAATTAGTGTCAGCTATTTGTCTTCATCTCCTTTAGCCTCTTAGCATGATTCCTCATCTGCTTCTGGAACCCTGGAAAAGCTAGGTTTCTTTGTCTCATTGGTTACCATCTTTACTGACTTCTTCATTTTCTAATTTATTTGTCTTTTTGTTTTGTCTACACATTCCCTCTGGATAATTTCATTCGATCTCTAGTCATTAAATTAAATGTATAGGCTGATGACTCATAAATTTATAACACCAGCTTCAGTTTCTCCCTTGAGTTTCAGAGTTGTATAGTCAACTGTCCATTTGATTTTACTTTAATGTTTCACAGATACCTCTAGTGTGGTATGTCCAACACAGCTTGACTCTTTGCTAGCCTTCCTGCCTGTTCCCTAGTTTGTTTCTTTTCAGTTAGTGTTTCTATACTTCCCCAGTTTCAGAGGCCTAGGAGTCACTTCTCCTCCCCCATATTTACTGACTTAAAAATCTTGTTGACATCTACTTACTGTAAAAATCTGTTTCAATTCAGCTATTTATCTCCACCCACACTGCTAAAACCCCTGTCCAAGCCTCCTTCTTCATTTTGTGCATTTGTCGTTCTTGACTTATCGGAATCTTCTCCTATCTTGTTTCTCTGCTTTCACTCTTGCCTTGCTGACATGAACTCTCCATAAAGCAATAAGAGGGATCTTTTAAAAATGTTAACAGGACCCTGCTTAACATTCTTCAGCATTGTGGGTATGATTTTTGCAGAAATGCAGAACTCTTGTCAATGGACTTGTTCTACATTCAAAGTTTGGTGAAAGAATATAATTTATATTTTAGATTATGATTATGTTATGTGTATTATTATATATTATATGTATGTACACTAATTTTTATTTATCTTCCCCTAACAATTATTTTTATTTACTAATCAAATATGGATTCACTTGAAGAAGAGGATTTCTGTTTTATATCATGTGTATCCAACTTGATTGAGAGAAGAGCATTTCCCAAATTTGATCAATCTCTTTGAATATTGCTATATAATATTTCATTGAATGTATATGCCATAATTAAACATTTTCCTATTGTATGATATTTTGGCTGTTTCAACATTTTACTATTAAAAAAAAGATGTTATAAAAATCTTTGTGTACAAACCACAGTCAGTATGTTTAATTAGTAGGTCAAAAATTAAATACATTTAAAGTCCTGTAATACATGCTTCTGGCTATTTGTTTAGAAGCTTTGTAGAAAAGAATTGGTCCAGGATTGAAGGGTCAATATGAGAACAGAAGGTTGTGGGCTGATCAATATCATCTTCTGACCTAGATTTTTTTTTAACTGTTTCCCCCAATTCTTTTTACTCTTGTGGTGGCACTCTTTGGAAAGAAGGCAGTGAGATGATGAACATTAGCATTTCAAATATTTTTGTAGAATCCCGGGAGCAAAAATGATTCTGCTTTATAGCCTCATTGCATTGGTGATGTGAAGTAACTGTTGAAGCATGGAGCTGCGAAGCAGGTGTGGGTCCATGAATTGAATTAGGAGCATTATCAATCCAGTTTCGAATTAGTATTTGGATCCAGGGAGCCACATGTACATGGGCAGGGGAGGAGAGAGTGATTGGTATCTATTGCCTGTCAGGAAGATTACAGAACTAGGTCAGATCTCTGGCCTTCTTTTGTTGAACAGAACTGGAGAACATATTGATGAGATGAGTGCCAGGGAGTCTATCTTGATCTAACCATAAAGGGCCTTGCTGGGCAGAACTGGGGAGAAAGGAGAGGCAAGCTGGTGTGGAAAGAGCCATGAGAGATACAATAGGGCAGCTGCCATGTTTGGGAAAATTGAGGCAGAGATGGAGAAAGCATATTTTGTTTTCTGTATCTCATGAATATTTCTGAGAGGCCGCAATGAAGATCTAAATTGCTTTAATTGTTTTTTAGTTGCCAGACTTTTATTTATTTGGATAAGATTCCATGCTGTGGCTTGCTTCCAGGCAGAGTGTACTTTGGACTGGATTAATGTAGGATACCATTATGACAAGGAATATTTATCCTGGCAAACCTTCATGAATTTGAGTGGAGCAGATATTCAAGTAGTGGCCATTCTGTTATTGTCATTGGGACTTAATTATATCTTCATGTTGACATGATGTAGGAAAATAGTATTATAATTTCTGAAATTTACAAGCTGCTAAAAGAGCTATAATATGGATAAAAGAGTCTCTTTTATCACAGAATAGTCTGTGATTTTAATTAACATTGCATCACAAGCCATACCATTTTTAAAATTCAACATTTTGTGCATTTTGATGAATATATATGGTATATTTATAAATTCTGAGAAAAATAACACTAATTTCATAACAGGTTCTAATTAAAAGTCAGCAAATGTCATTCAGAATTATCAGCTACTTAACCAGGTAGAATTCAAAGTTTGAAGAAAAATTTAATGTGTATAAGGAAAAAAATTACAGTAAATAAGCAGACAACCAAATACTTTAATATTTTAGTGATTTCAATTAATTGTAATTATTTTGTAAGAAAATAAGTATTTTTATAAATGTTTGTTTCGTTTGCCTTCATGGGAATAAGACTTTCCTTTTAAATAGGAACACAGGTTTATTAAGTAAATAATACAGGTGTATCATAATTTCATAGGGATTAATAAAAATGGGAATTTTGGAATTTCTTGAATATATCCTGTTTAGTATGCCTCAATGACACTATATGTATCTGAAACAATGTGATGCAAATAAGCCCAAGGCATGATTAGAGTTTCAAGTACCAAATCACAGATCAGGGTGACTTGTTTTTTCTAAGATGCAAATATAGAGCGCTTGCCCTCGGAACCTCCATCACCTCGTGTATCCAAACAGTTCAAATGAGTTGTGATGAGTCGGCTTTCAATACCTTGGAACAACTGGTTTCTGAAATGTCATGATGGGAGATTGTATGTTGTCATTTAATGTGAAATAAAACATGAAAGGGTTTCAGGGAAAACTTGCCTGTTGTGGGATGTGACAGCAGGCTTAGCTCGGCTGTGCAGTAGGTGAAGGCCTGGGGCCGATGTGGGGCACCTTGTCATGTAGGTCTGCCTTATCTGCTGCTCTTGATATTTTTCTTCCTCCTCGGAAATGCAGTCTCCTGAATTCATATTTGGCTAAACTCAACAGATATTATTAATGCTTTAAATTCTGTTTGGAAAGAGGCAATGTTAAATGTATCAATTTATTTTAAGAGTAGACATAAGTAAACAGTTTACTTATGTATCTATATGTGTTTCATAACATCATATCGTATGCTCTAAATATACAAAATAAAATTTATTAAAAATACGTAATGACTGAAGAAATAATTAAAAAAATAAAAGTAGACATGAGATTCTATGGAGGACACTAATGAAATAAGATACATGGCCGGACGCGGTGGCTCACACCTGTAATCCCAGCACTTTGGGAGGCCGAGGCGGGCGGATCACGAGGTCGGGAGACCGAGATCATCCTGGCTAACACAGTGAAACCTCGTCTCTACTAAAAATACATAAAATTTAGCCAGGCCTGGTGGCGGGCGCCTGTAGTCCCAACTACTCGGGAGACTGAGGCAGGAGAATGGCGTGAACCCGGGAGGTGAAGCTTGCAGTTAGCCGAGATCACATCACTGCACTCCAGCCTGGGCGACAGAGCGAGACTCCGTCGCAAAAAAAAAAAAAAAAAAAAAAAAGAAATAAGATACATGGACCGGCTATCAGGGAATATACAAATTAACTGGAGACAAGATATAGAGACATGAAACAGTCAAATAACAAAGTAAAGTTCTATATTGTTGAGTAGGATAGTGAATATGTGAATATTTATATGTGGATGTTATAGGAATCCAGAGGTAGGAGAATATGTTCTGTCATGGAGCGATTAGAAAATGAAAGCATTGAGTTGGGGGCAATACTTGGGCAAGATTTCTATCAGAAGGGAGGAAGGGGAGTGGCTTTGCAGAGATGGGGGAGGACACATAAGCAGAGCTAATAAGCCGGGAGTGCTTTCCTCTTGGATGCACAATGGCTACAGATAATAATATAATTTTGTTCATGTAAACGTGCTTCTGAAATGATTTGGGGGCAGATATTGTGTTGTTGAATTTATTTTTTACCCCATAGTAATCTTAAAGGTGGGAACATCATGCCAGAAGGAAAGAAGGATAGCCAAAATGATGTGAAGAGCAGTTTCCTGACAAAGGTCTGGGTTTTAGTCCCTGTGCTGTCACTTCATTTTTGTTAAAGTGACTTAAGGTGAGTCATTTTATCTCTTCTCAATTATTAAATGAGGTCATTGGGCAGAATGCTCTTTGAGGTTTCTTCTAACCCTAGGGCCCCATGAACTGGTACTATACAGTAGGTTAGTAAAAGAGGTTTCTGGACAGGAGGACCTTTAGGAAACTCTTAATTCATGCTGTCCAAGTGACCTCTTACTCTTATAGAGATAGGAGCTGTTCATCTTACACTCAAGAAAGATAGTGGGTGTCCCGTAGGCGCCATTGAATTTTGCTACTTCAGACTAACTAGACTGTTAAGTTTAGAAAGCTGATCTAAGAGACTTTCCTTTTGGTTACTCTGCAAGAAGAATGAGGTCACTTTTACTCTTTTATAAGAGAACCCTTTGAGAGTAAAACAGCTTTCATGTTTCATAGGGTCAAACAATTTTGAACAGCCTGGAGCACGTTATTCTTATCATGGCTTAGCTGGTGTCCTTGGGTCAGAAGACTCTAAATATTTAATGTGAAACTCACAAGGATTCGTCTCTTTTTTTTTTCTTGGACCAGTTGCATCCTTAGTATTTTTAAAGAAATATACATGTGTTGAAATTCATAAAATTTCATAATCTAAATTTGACTCTACTGTCAGCATCAACTAACATTTATTGAGAACCCACTGTTTTCCTGACATTGTATTATGCATTAGGAACTCTTCATATTAAGGCTATTGTTTTTCCTCAGGGGCTGTGCAATTATCCTTTATGGTTAGAAATAGAAACAGAAACTTTGGAATAACAGTAACATCCAGTCCTTTTAAGGTTAGAAATAGAAACTGTAACTGGAATAATAGTAACATCCAATGACATGAGAGGTCACGATGAGGTTTATATTCTTTTTATCATCATTTGATATACTATATTTATCAATAGAGGTACGATTATCTTATTTTATATTTCTTCTCCTGTTATTTAAATGTGGCAGCTGTAACTAATTTGGATATCAACCACCTACTGTGTCGTGCACATCTCTGTAAAACTTTATTGTACAATCTGGAATATATCTAAAAATATCCAGGAGTAAATATATCATCATTAACCTGTCATATATAGTGACAGTCTTATAGAAATGTAAAAAATGGAAGCAAACTAAGTGAACTGTGATCTAGAAGTCTTAAATTAGCCCCTAATTCTGCATCTGACATGGAAGGACTGCCTGGAGGCAGGGCAACATCATGGAAAAGTGAGGGGGTAATTTTTCTTACATTTATCTTTGTGTTGACATACAAAGTGTGGTGTTGTGAACAAATTGCTTCTAGTCAGGTTAGCAGCTTCCATCAGAACAAAGACAAATGTCTAAGATTCTGCTCCTTTCTCAGTAAGGGTACAATGAGGACATGAATCATATCATCTATTCTGTGTATATATGAGATGTAACAATATAGTACCAAGAGTATTTTTAAAATGAATGATATTAGAATTTTAAAAATGACTGTCCATCCCTGTCAGTTTCATACAATTATTCTTCTGTGGGTCAGTGATGAGTATTCCACCACCCAAATCTAATTGCCTTTTATTTTTTACAGTTCTTATCCTCATTGAAATCATTCTCTTTGAGGCTCTCAATACTCTTGGCCATTTTTCCTTTTTAAAACAAACATTTGTCTTAGTTAAAAGAAAAAATACCCTGCTACTTAATAAAAACAATAGGAAATACAGCTAAGAAAAATAAGAAAGGAAGTCTCCCATAATGTTGCCATTCAAAGAGAGAGAGCCATTCTTAATAGCGTAGTATTTAGCTCAGTATTTTCTTTCAAAGCTTATGTATCATTAAAAAAATTAACATGCTATACAGACTGTTTTAAAACTACTTTTCTCATTTAACAATGTTATATACCATTTTCCATGATATCACATATTTGTAATGGATATAACTTGAACAGTTACAAATCAGATCTGTGCAAAAAATGAAAATACGTTTCACAAATAAAAATAGCCATGTAAGTGCTCCTTGATTTTTGATTTTTTTTTGGATCAGCAGTGAAAAACTTAATAAGGAGTCTTTAAGTTATTATGGTCTCTTCCAATTTGAAACTCAGACTCTTTTTTTGCAGTCAAATTCACACGCTATAGTCTTAGATACTGCTCAAAGTTTGCTCTCCATATTTTTTTCCCTCTGAAGATTTTTTCCCTCCTTTCTTCTTTCTACTGTAGTTCGTGGGTTCGTGCTTACCTGCCAGGAAAGTGTAAGTGATCTGTGGAAGTGAAGTACGAAATGGATGGTGGGTAGGATGTGTATCTCATCCACAGGTTCCCTTTTTGCTGATACTTGTTGCTAGTGTCTTTGCCTGGTTTGGTTCCTGGCACTGTGGATGAGGGGTGCAACCACAGCCCAAGGTCAGTAGGGAAGGGGAGGTCTCCACTGATCTCCAAATGGAATGGATCCTGTCCTTTTGTTGACTCTGTGCAGCTGCTGTGACTCTTTTGACACTGATGAGCTGCTGAAATCCTGTAGCACATGACAGTGTCTAAGGGCACCTGTCTGCACCCCTATGAGGCTTCAGAAGCATCACAGTGGTTACTTTCCCTCCTCTCACCACGGGAAATTGTTCTCTCCAAGACACATGCTGTTTGAAGTCTCCAGCTCCTGGATAGTGTTTTGGGATGGAGGCTGGCCAGTTGGTTGATGCTTCCATCCAACTCCAGTAGATGACTCTGGCTCCACAAAAATCCACACCTTTTTACCTTGTTGCACATCTCTACCATCTCATGGGATTAGGTTCTAGGTTCTCCAACTTCATGAGGAAATACTAGGGGATAGGCCTAGAATAAGACAGAATATGTGCTTCACCACATGACTACAAAATGCAGATCTTCATTTTTTTTCCTCTATCATTCTCCCCTCTCCCTTCTTATACTTTGTCTTTAAAAATAATCATGAGCCAATTTCATTTCTTTGCAGTACCAGAGCAAGGTACAAAGTTGGGCACTGATACAAACTTCCTTTGAAGTTAGCCTTCTCAGCTGTCCACAGTGGGGATGAATTAGCAGAAATATAAAGAGAATCTGTCATTCTAGTTTCAGTTGATAACAACGAAGAAATATGTGTGTGGTTTGTTTGGCATAATTTTAATTGTTGCAAATTGCTCCTTGGTGTGTTCTAGTCTATGCCTGTGCTATCACTTATTTACAAAATCTTTTTTTGCATACTATGTCCCCACCAATTATTTTATTATAAACAAAATAATTTTAATGTTAACTTTTAAGTTCTTGAAGTCTTATCTCCCTCTGTTTTGAAAATGGTATCTTCTCTAATTATTCAAAAGCCTCCACTTTTAAAAAGTCCTTCCTTGTTTCTTTCCTCTTCTGACCACAAAACTGGTTCTTGATCTTCCTCTAATTTTCTTTTATTGTGATCTCTCCTTTGGAAATCTCATCTAGACTTATCATTTCAACTTTCTCTTCTATTTATATGTCTTGTGAATTTTTATCTGTAGTTTTGGGTACTCTCCTAAGTTCCAGTGGCCTTTACTTGAGGGCCATTCCGGCACCTTTAATTCAAGATATGAGGACTGAGTTCATTGTCTTTGTTGTTGCTTGATAAAGAATGGTAGTATGCTTGTAACACAACATGGGGGAAATAATCACTGCCTAAACCTGGAACTGGACCTGCCCAGTAAGGACAAGGGATATATGAGCCAGGACATTTTGACATTGTTATTTTGACCTCAATGTTTTGACCCAGTAAACTTATCTTTTCTTTATCTCTTCAATGCCAGTTATCACCCAGTGAATTAAATGATTAAAATGATAAAAATTAGATCAGGACCTCAATAGGCCAAAAATGGAAAATGGAACAAACTTGGAATTTTCTGAGAGAACTGTAATAATTAACAAATCACACCTTTAAATTATCAGCATCTAAAATAATGCCTGGTACATAAAAGGTAATCAATAAACATGTTTGACTTAATACGTGAATGTATAAAGCCTCAATGAACTATTGCTGAAAATGCACACATTAACATTTGTTTTTGACAATTAAATAATGAGTGAATCAAGTATACTTGATATAATGTAGACCTATCAATTGTGACTGAGAAAAATTGGACTTAGAAGAAGTCATGACCACAAAAAAATACAAGAAAGTTATGATGGTTATGCCATAATTGGTCAAATTAGATGTGTAAAAATGATGATCAATAAAGTCCATTTTTATTATAGAATTTAAATAAAAACTGATCCTATTGATAAAAATTTTGAATAATTATTTAATTTTAATATTTCAGTTACATATAAAAACTAAGAATTTGAAATGCTATGGCATGCTATACAGAAAACTGGTTATAGAACCAGATGTGGTAAAGTGAACTTTGTTCCAGATAATGTTTTCTATTTGAAACTTACTGTATAATTTTGATAAGAATGTTGGTATTCATAACACATCTTGGTGACAAATTGGTGGATAAAAATTGTCAGGGTAGAAACATCCTGCATTGGCTCTGGAGGCAGAAGGACAAAACTGGGTTCAGTAGGGTGGTTAAGTTATCTGTCCGAAGAGTAAGGAAATATTCAGGTAAACTAAATGGGAAACATTGAGTCCTCCAAAAAAGAAGGCAGAATGGAGTCATAAGTAAAGTAGCCACACTTAAAAGTCCAAGGAGACAGATAGGCAGGTGGTAGCTGGAAATATAATCCTAAAAGGGGATAATGACATAATCTGAACCCTATGAGATTAGGGGTGAAGTGTTGGGGGATGAAGCTGGGTAATTTCATCTTGCTTTAAGAAAAATGTGGTTGGAGATTGGGTTGGGACTGACTAAACTGTAGGTTTAGCTGTGGGGAACTGGGAAGTGATAGGCTGGAAAAATAATTTCGCCACTGAAGCCTACTCACCTGTTGTACCCCTATTTTTGTTATGTGCCTAATCCTCTACTCATACAACCTTGAAACTTTAGCCTTTTCTTTGTTTCCACTGCACGTACCATAAATCCCCAAATCTGAGCAATTCTAGCTCTTCATCTTCATTGCCATCAACTGAATTCATACTATTTTTATTCCTTGCCTACTTAATGTAATAGTCTCCTAACTTGTCTATTGACCTCAAATGCCTTCTCTCATTAAAGTATCTCACATAGTGCTGCCATATCAATTTTGATAAAATACAGGTTTAAATTTACCATATCCTTCTTCAAAATCTCAATACATTTTTCTTTAATGCAATCCACTATACCTAGGATCCTCCATCCTCTATTATGTTTAAGATTTAAACATAATCTTATCCTATCTTCAAGACCAAGCTTAAAGTAATATGTTCCATGAGTCCACTGCTCCTTTCACCTGATTGTAATTCCTTTTTTTCTAATCTATGATTATTCTTAGTTTCTCTGATGAGATTTATTCCTTGAGACTGTTATGGGGATGGGTCACATCGTATGGTAGAACTAGGACAAGATACAGAGAGAATGGGATTAATCTTGTCCATTTTATTGTTTGAAATCATGCAAATAAATGTTTAGCATCTCTGATCTTTATTCCTTTATGTATAAAAATGGATCTTATAATTTTATTTTATTCTTAGAATTGTCATAAGGAAAACTGAGATAATACAGGTTAAAAGTAACAGATGAAAACAATACTGTTGTTAGCTATGCTTATATTTATATAATATACATGCTATATTTTTATGCTAGATTTTAAGCTAATTGAGGAAAAGCTTCAAGCCTGACTTAACTTGGATATCTTCATCATACCTACAAATGGCATTTGGCTTTTCTAAATATCAAATTCTTCCTCATAAAAAGGAGTTTGAAGCAATGAAATTATTTTATTTTATTAAAAATTTTTTTTATTATACTTTAAGTTCTGGCATACATGTGCAGAATGTGCAGTTTTGTTAAGTAGGTATACATGTGCCATGGTGGTTTGCTGCACCCATCAACCCATCACCTACATTAGGTATTTCTTCTAATGCTATCCCTCCCCCAGCACACCACCCTCCAACAGGCCCTGGTGTGTGATGTTCCCTTCCCTGTGTCCATGTGTTCTCATTGTTCAACTCTCACTTATGAGTGAGAACATGCGGTGTTTGGTTTTCTGCTCTTGTGTTAGTTTGCTGAGAATGATGGTTTCCAGCTTCATCCATGTGCCTGCAAAGGACATGAACTCATCCTTTTTTATGGCTGCATAGTATTCCATGGTGTATGTGTGCCACATTTTCTTTATCCAGTCTATCATTGATGGGCATTTGGGTTGGTTTCAAGTCTCTGCTATTGTGAACAGTGCTGCAATAAACATACATGTGCATGTGTCTTTATAGTAGAATGATGTATAATCCTTTGGGTATATACCAAGTAATGGGATTGCTGTGTCAAATGGTATTTCTGGTTCTAAATCCCTGAGGAATCAACCATTAGTTCAATGGTTGAACTAATTTACACTCCCACCAGTGTAAAAGAGTTCCTATTTCTCCATATCCTCTCCAGCATCTGTTGTTTCCTGACTTTTTAATGATTACCATTCTAACTGGTGTGAGATGGTATCTCACTGTGGTTTTGATTTGCATTTCTCTAATGACCAGTGATGATGAGCATTTTTTCATATGTTTGTTGGCTGCATAAATGTCTTCTTTTGAGACCTGTCTGTTCATATCCTTCTCCTACCTTTTGATGGGTTTGTTTGTTTTTTTTCTTCTAAATTTGTTTAAGTTCTTTGTAGAGTCTGGATATTAGCCCTTTGTCAGAGGGATAGATTGCAAAAATATTCTCCCATTCTGTAGGTTGCCTGTTCAGTCTAATGACAGTTTCTTTTGCTGTGCAGAAGCTCTTTAGTTTAGATCCCATTTGTCAATTTTGGCTTTTGTTGCCATTGCTTTTGGTGTTTTAGTCATGAAGTCTTTGCCGTTGCCTATGTCCTGAATGGTATTGCCTAGGTTTTCTTCTAAGGTTTTTATGGTTTCAGGTCTTAGGTTAAGTCTTTAATCCATCTTGAGTTAATTTTTGTATAAGTTATAAGGAAGGGGTCCAGTTTCAGTTTTCTGCATATGGCTAGCTATTTTCCCAACACCATTTATTAAATAGGGAATCCTTTCCCCATTTCTTGTTTTTGTCAGGTTTGTCAAAGATCAGATGGTTGTAGATGTGTGGTGTTATTTCTGAGGCCTCTGTTCTGTTCCATTGATCTGTATCTCTGTTTTGGTACCAGTACCATGCTGTTTTGGTTACTGTAGCCTTGTAGTATAGTTTGAAGTCAGGTAGCGTGATGCCTCCAGCTTTTTTCTTTTTTTGCTTAGGATTGTCTTGGCTATACGGGCTCATTTTTGATTCCATATGAAATTTAAAGTAGTTTTTTAAAAATTCTGTGAAGAAAGTCAAAGGTAGCTTGATGGGGATAGCATTGAATCTATAAATTACTTTGGGCAGTATGGCCATTTTCACGATATTGATTCTATCTTTGAGCATGGAATGTTTTTCCATTTGTTTGTGTCCTCTCTGATTTCCTTGATCAGTCATTTGTAGTTCTGCTTGAAGACGTCCTTCACATCCCTTGTAGTTTTATGCCTAAGTATTTTATTCTCTTTGTAGCAATTGTGAATGGGAGTTCACTCATGATTTGGCTGTTTGTCTATTATTGGTGTGTAGGAATGCTTGTGATTTTTGCACATTGATTTTGTATCCTGAGACTTTGCTGAAATTGCTTATTAGCTTAAGGAGATTTTGGGGTGAGATGATGGGGTTTTCTAAATATACAAGCATGTCATCTGCAAACAGAGACAATTTGACTTCCTCTCTTGCTATTTGAATACACTTTATTTCTTTCTCTTGCGTGATAGCCCTGGCCAGAACTTCTAATATTATGTTGAAGAGGAGTAGTGAGAGAGGGCATCCTTGTCTTGTGCCAGTTTTCAAAGGGAATGCTTCCAGTTTTTGCGCATTCAGTATGATAGTGGCTGTGGGTTTGTCATAAATAGCTCTTAATATTTTGAGATATATTCAATCAATACCTAATTTATTGAGAGTTGTTAGCATGAAGGGCTGTTGAATTTTGTCAAAGGATTTTTATGCATCTATTGAGATAATCGTGTGGTTTTTGTCATTGGTTCTGTTTATGTGATGGATTACATTTATTGATTTGCGTATGTTGAACCAGCCTTGCATCCCAGGGATGAAGCTGATTTGATCATGGTGGATAAGCTTTTTAATGTGCTGCTGGATTCGGTTTGCCAGTATTTTATTGAGGATTTTTGCATCGATGTTCATCAGGGATATTGGTCTGAAATTTTGCTTTTTTGTTGTGTCTCTGCCAAGTTTTGGTGTCAGGATGATGTTGGCCTCATAAAATGAGTTAGGGAGAATTCCCTCTTTTTCTATTGTTTGCAGTACTTTCAGGAGGAATGGTACCAGCTTCTCTTTGTACCTCTGGTAGACTTCGGCTGTGAATCCGTCTGGTACTGGACTTTTTTGGTTGGTAGGCTATTAATCACTGCCTCAGTTTCAGAACTTGTTTTGATCTATTCAGGGATTCGACTTCTTCCTGGTTTAGCCTTGGGAGGGTGTATGTGTCCAGGAATTTATCCATTTTTTTCTAGATTTACTAGTTTATTTGTATAGAGGTGTTTATAGTATTCTCTGATGGTAGTTTTATTTCTGTTGGATCAGTGGTTATATCCCTTTATCATTTTTTATTTTGTCTATTTGATTCTTCTCTCTTTTCTTCTTTATTAGTCTGACTAGCTGTCTATCTATTTTGTTGATCTTTTCAAAAAACCAACTCCTGGATTTATTGATTTTTTGAAAGGTTTTTTTGTGTCTCTATCTCCTTCAGTTCTTCTCTGATCTTAGTTATTTCTTGTCTTCTGCTAGCCTTTGCATTTTTTTGCTCTAGTTCGTTTAATTGTGATGTTAGGGTGTCGATTTTAGATTTTTTCTGCTTTCTCTTTTGGGCATTTAGTGCTATAAATTTCTCTCTAAACACTGCTTTAAATGTGTCCCAGAGATCCTGGTATGTTGTGCCTTCATTCTCATTGGTTTCAAAGAACATCTTTATTTCTGCTTTCATTTCGTTATTTACCCAGTAGTCATTCAGGAGCAGGTTGTTCAGTTTCCATGTAGTTGTGTGGTTTTGAGTGAGTTTCCTAATGCTGAGTTCTAATTTGATTGCACTGTGGTCTGAGAGACTGCTTGTTATGATTTCTGTTCTTTTGCATTTGCTGAGGAGTGTTTTACTTCCAATTATGTGGTCAATTTTAGAATAAGTGCAATGTGGTGCTAAGAAGAATGTATATTCTGTTGATTTGAGGTGGAGAGTTCTGTAGATGTCTATTAAGTCCACTTGGTTCAGAGTTGAGTTTAAGTCCTGAAAATCCTTGTTAATTTTCTGTCTCACTGATCTGTCTAATATTAGCAGTGGGGTGTTAAAGTCTCTCACTATTATTGTGTGGGGGTCTAAATCTCTTGTAGGTGTCTAAGAACTTGCTTTATGAATCTGGGTGCTCCTGTATTGGGTGCATATATATTTAGGATAGTTAGCTCTTCTTATTGCATTGATCCCTTTACCATTATGTAATGCCCTTCTTGTTTCTTTTGATCTTTGTTGGTTTAAAGTCTGTTTTATCAGAGACTAGGATTGCAACCCCTGCTTTTCTTTTGCTTTCCATTTTCTTGGTAACTATTCCTTCATCCCTTTATTTTTAGCCTATGTGTGTCTTTGGATGTGAGATGGGTCTCCTGAATACAGCACACCGATGGGTCTTCACACTTTATCCAATTTGCCAGCCTGTGTCTTTTAATTGGGCCAATTAGCCCCTTTATATTTAAGGTTAATATTGTTTTGTGTGCATTTGATCCTGTCATAATGATCCTAGCTGGTTATTTTGCCCGTTAGTTGATGCAGTTTCTTCATAGTGTTGATGATCTTTACAATTTGGTATGTTTTTGCAGTTGCTAGTACCAGTTGTTCCTTTCCATGTTTAGTGCTTCCTTCAGGAACTCTTGTTGGCCCCCACTCTCTTCTGGCTTGTAGAGTTTCTGTCGAGAGATCAGCTGTTAGTCTGATGGGCTTCCCTTTGTGGGTAACCCGACCTTTCTCTCTGGTTGCCCTTAACATTTTTTCCTTCATTTCAACCTTGGTGAATCTGATGATTGTGTGTCTTGGGGTTGCTCTTCTCAAGGAGTGTCTTTGTGGTGTTCTCTATATTTCCCGAATTTGAATGTTGGCCTGTCTTGCTAGATTGGGGAAGTTCTCCTGGATAATATCCTGAAATGTTTTCCTACTTGGTTCCATTCTACCTGTCACTCTCAGGTACAACAATCAAATGTAGGTTTGGCCTTTTCACATAGTCCCATATTTCTTAGAGGCTTTGTTCACTTCTTTTCATTCTTTTTTGTCTAATCTTGTCCTCACACTTTATTTCATTAAGTTGATCTTCAATCTCTGATATCCTTTCTTCTGCTTGATCAATTTGCCTATTGATACTTGTATATGCTTTACAAAGTTCTCATGCTGTGTTTTTCAGCTCCATCAGGTTATTTTTGTTCTTCTCTAAACTGGTTATTCTAGTTAGCAATTTGTGTAGCCTTTTTTTCAAGGTTCTTAGCTTCCTTGCATTGGGTTAGAACATGCTCCTTTAGCTCAGAGGAGTTTGTTATTACCCACCTTCTGAAGCCTACTTCTGTCAATTTGTCAAACTCATTCTTCATCCAGTTTTGTTCCCTTGCTGGCAAGGAGTCACGATCCTTTGGAGGTGAAGAGGCATTCTGGTTTTTGGAATTTTCAGCCTTTTTGCACTGGTTTCTTCTCCCCATCTTCACGGGTTTATCTACCTTTGGTCTTTGATGTTGGTGACCTTTGGATGGGGTTTTTGTGTGGATGTCCTTTTTGCTGATGTTGATACTATCCCTTTCTGTTTGTTAGTTTTCCTTCTTACAGTCAGGTCCCTCTGCTGCAGGTCTGCTGGAGTTTGCTGGAGGTCCACTCCAGACCCTCTTTGCCTGGGTGTCACCAGCTGAGGCTGCAGAACAACAAAGATTGCTGCCTGTTCCTTCCTCTGGAAGCTTCATCCCAGAGGGGCACCCACCAGATGCCAGCAGGATCTCTCCTGTATGAGGTTTCTGTCGACCCCTGCTGGGAGATGTCTCCCAGTCAGAAGGCACAGGAGTCAGGGACTCACTTGAGGAGGCCGTCTGTCCCTTAGCAGAGCTTGAGCGCTGTGCTGGGAGATCTGCTGCTCTTTAGAGCTGGCAGGCAGGAATGTTTAAGTCTGCTGAAGCTGCGCCCACAGCTTCCCCTTCCCCCAGGTGCTCTGTCTCAGGGAGTTGGGAGTTTTATCTATAAGCCCCTGAATGGGGCTGCTGCCTTTCTTTCAGAGATATGCTGCACAAAGAGTGAAATTATTTTAAAAATGTAATGTATACTTAGAAAATGATTCTGAAAAAGAGAGTTCCATTTTTTATGTTTTTCTGAAATTGCATCAGGAGTGATGCAATTGTACATTGTACTCCAAGACAACTACTTAGAAGAAAAAGCATTCATTGTCATCTAAATTTCGGTATTAAAAATAAAACCAAGATATGTTTTAAAAAAGGCCAAAGATGGTAATAAGATTATGGGTGACTTTTCCCCTGTTTTCTATATTTCTCTAAAATTTCTGCAGTGAATATGTATGCTTTACCCTCAACTTAAAACTTTATTTTGAAAAAATCAGAGCCATTAACTAAGTTACCTATTCCTAATAACTTTTGCCTATATCATTAGAAGAAAAGTTAAGCTAATAGAAACTTAGAAGCTTGTTGCAATTTCACTTTTAGCATTTTCAAAATCACTTTGTGATTACTGTTAAATAAACAATTATGTTAATTTTTTCCTGCACACATGTGTGTGGTTTTAAGAAAACTAAATACCCACTGTTGTGGGACTTGCTAAGGCTGGACAAGAAGGATGCTGGTGGTGAACTATAGTGCGTATATCTCAGGACTATAGTTCTTTTCTCACAAGGGATTCCAATTCATCTTATACCCTACTCAGCAGAATATACTTCTCACTAGGGTTTGAAGTAAACACTTTTCACTTCTGCAGTTGTGATATTTATGTACATATAATTAAATATAATTAAGAATTTTATTTTTGAAATAATGTAATAAGTGTCTACAATCTTACTATAATTTCTTGTATTTATTAAACAATTTGAGATATGTCTATTCGTTCATTTTCCCAATAAATCTTTATTGATCTCTTCTGTATATTAGGTACTATTCAGGTTCTGAGGATATATTAATAGCAATGAACAAAACAAATAAGAATTTCTGGCTGGGCACAGTGGCTCATGCCTGTAATCCCAGCACTGTGGGAGGCCGAGGAAGGCCTCACTTGAGCAAGGATCAAGGATCACTGGAGCAAGACCAGCCTGGGAAATGTGTTGAGGCCCAGCCTCTACAAAAAACTACAAAAATTAGCCAGGTGTCATGGTACACGCCTATAATCCTAGCTATTCAGGGTGCTTAGGTGGGAGGACCACTTGAGCATGAGAGGCAGAGGCTGCAGTGAGCTGAGATCATAACACTGCACTCCAGCCTGGGCAACAGAGTGAAACACCTGTCTCAAAAAAAATAATAATTTCTGCCTTCATAGAGCTTACATTGTAGTAAGAGAGATAAACAATAAACAAATTAAATAAATAAAAGTGTGTTAAGATAAATGGTGACAAGTACTAGAAGGAACCATAATGCAAGAATGAATATATGGAGTGTGGAAGGATATGAAGCGCTAGATTTCAATTTTAAATAGGGTGGCCATTTCTCATTAAGAAGGTACTGTTTAAGCAAATGTTTGAAGGAGGTAATTAGTAGGCATGTGGCTAGCAGAGAAAGAGCATCGTAGTCAGTAAAACAGCAGTGTTTGAAGTCCTTGAGGCTAAAGTGTGCCTGGTGTACTAATGAAGCAACAAAGGTGGCCATATTCTGGAGGTGGACAGTTTGGGGCTGGTTATTTTGGTGGTGACAACTTGAGGAAAGTATTTTCTGAGGTTGTTTTATTTATTTTAGAAGGAGTCGTGCTGTGTTGCCCAGGCTAGAGTGCAGTGGCCCTATCTCGGCTCAGTGGAACCTCTGCTTCCTGAGTTCAAGTGATTCTCTTGCCTCAGCCTCCCAAGTAGCTGGAACTACAGGCACTGCCACCACGCCTGGCTAATTTTTGTATTTTTAGTAGAGACGAGGTTTCACCATCTTGGCCAGGCTGGTCTCGAACTCTGACCTAGTGATCCACCCGCCTTGGCCTCCCAAAGTGCTGGGATTACAGGTGTGAGCCACTGCAGCCGGCCTGTTTTATGTTTTTCATGAAACAGAAAGCAAGGTCATCAGTGAGTGTGTGTAGGAAGGGTGAATAGCTATTTAGTGGAAAGGAGGTGTGAATATAACAGGGAAAGGCAGTATGATTGCTGGGAAGCATTAGAGCTCATTTTAGGTCAAAGGTAGAACATATAAAATGAGACCAGCGAGCAAATTTTGTGTTTCTCCAGCCAGTTCTGCTGCTATGGTGCTGAGTGGCCAAGGTAGAGATTTAGTATTAACCAAGGTTATGGTTTACCAGCGTGAATACATTGAAATGAAAGAGAAGCAAGAAAGTTGAGGGTGATACAAAGGAGTTATAATGATGGACCAAGAAAATTTAAACTGGTTAAAGAGGGAAGAAAGGACACAAGAGAAGTAAGGAATCATGGAAAAGTAATGGAATTGATTGTAGGTGCGGGCATTGTATAAGGACCGTTGTATAAGGATCACAGTGAGCTAGAAAGGGAAGAGGTAGTGGTTGGAGAGTGGGAGGCTTGCAGTTGAGGTCTGGGAGGGATTGTAGTTATTGCTAATGACCACAGGTATAGGATATGACCATGTAAGTGAGTATTTGGATCAGGCAGAGGACAAGATTGAGGAAGTGAGAGGCTGAGGCATTGGAAGCATCATTTAAACAGATGTTAAAATCATGAGAATTACAGGCATAATGTAGTTGCGTGTGACAGCAAGCCAGGAACAAATATCTCCAGGGAAGGAGGAATGTGACTGGAGATTCAGGTATATTCTACTTATGGAATCCATAGCTGGCAATTTCTTTTTTTTTTTTTTTTTTTTTTTTTAATTATACTTTAAGTTTTAGGGTACATGTGCACATTGTGCAGGTTAGTTACATATGTATACATGTGCCATGCTGGTGTGCTGCACCCACTAAAGTGTCATCTAGCATTAGGTATATCTCCCAATGCTATCCCTCCCCCCTCCCCCAACCCCACCACAGTCCCCAGAGTGTGATATTCCCCTTCCTGTGTCCATGTGATCTCATTGTTCAATTCCCACCTATGAGTGAGAATATGCGGTGTTTGGTTTTTTGTTCTTGCGATAGTTTACTGACAATGATGGTTTCCAATTTCATCCATGTCCCTACAAAGGACATGAACTCATCATTTTTTATGGCTGCATAGTATTCCATGGTGTATATGTGCCACATTTTCTTAATCCAGTCTATCATTGTTGGACATTTGGGTTGGTTCCAAGTCTTTGCTATTGTGAATAATGCCGCAATAAACATACGTGTGCATGTGTCTTTATAGCAGCATGATTTATAGTCATTTGGGTATATACCCAGTAATGGGATGGCTGGGTCAAATGGTATTTCTAGTTCTAGATCCCTGAGGAATCGCCACACTGACTTCCACAATGGTTGAACTAGTTTACAGTCCCACCAACAGTGTAAAAGTGTTCCTATTTCTCCACATCCTCTCCAGCACCTGTTGTTTCCTGACTTTTTAATGATTGCCATTCTAACTGGTGTGAGATGATATCTCATAGTGGTTTTGATTTGCATTTCTCTGATGGCCAGTGATGATGAGCATTTTTTCATGTGTTTTTTGGCTGCATAAATGTCTTCTTTTGAGAAGTGTCTGTTCATGTCCTTTGCCCACTTTTTGATGGGGTTGTTTGTTTTTTTCTTGTAAATTTGTTTGAGTTCATTGTAGATTCTGGATATTAGCCCTTTGTCAGATGAGTAGGTTGCGAAAATTTTCTCCCATGTTGTAGGTTGCCTGTTCACTCTGATGGTAGTTTCTTTTGCTGTTCAGAAGCTCTTGAGTTTAATTAGATCCCATTTGTCAATTTTGGCTTTTGTTGCCATTGCTTTTGGTGTTTTGGACATGAAGTCCTTGCCCGTGCCTATGTCCTGAATGGTAATGCCTAGGTTTTCTTCTAGGGTTTTTATGGTTTTAGGTCTAACATTTAAATCTTTAATCCATCTTGAATTGATTTTTGTATAAGGTGTAAGGAAGGGATCCAGTTTCAGCTTTCTACATATGGCTAGCCAGTTTTCCCAGCACCATTTATTAAATAGGGAATCCTTTCCCCATTGCTTGTTTTTCTCAGGTTTGTCAAAGATCAGATAGTTGTAGATATGCGGCGTTATTTCTGAGGGCTCTGTTCTGTTCCATTGATCTATATCTCTGTTTTGGTACCAGTACCATGCTGTTTTGGTTACTGTAGCCTTGTAGTATAGTTTGAAGTCAGGTAGTGTGATGCCTCCAGCTTTGTTCTTTTGGCTTAGGATTGACTTGGCGATGCGGGCTCTTTTTTGGTTCCATATGAACTTTAAAGTAGTTTTTTCCAATTCTGTGAAGAAAGTCATTGGTAGCTTGATGGGGATGGCATTGAATCTGTAAATTACCTTGGGCAGTATGGCCATTTTCACGATATTGATTCTTCCTACCCATGAGCATGGAATGTTCTTCCATTTGTTTGTGTCCTCTTTTATTTCCTTGAGCAGTGGTTTGTAGTTCTCCTTGAAGAGGTCCTTCACATCCCTTGTAAGTTGGATTCCTAGGTATTTTATTCTCTTTGAAGCAATTGTGAATGGGAGTTCACTCATGATTTGGCTCTCTGTTTGTCTGTTGTTGGTGTATAAGAATGCTTGTGATTTTTGTACATTGATTTTGTATCCTGAGACTTTGCTGAAGTTGCTTATCAGCTTAAGGAGATTTTGGGCTGAGACGATGGGGTTTTCTAGATAAACAGTCATGTCGTCTGCAAACAGGGACAATTTGACTTCCTCTTTTCCTAATTGAATACCCTTTATTTCCTTCTCCTGCCTGATTGCCCTGGCCAGAACTTCCAACACTATGTTGAATAGGAGCGGTGAGAGAGGGCATCCCTGTCTTGTGCCAGTTTTCAAAGGGAATGCTTCCAGTTTTTGCCCATTCAGTCTGATATTGGCTGTGGGTTTGTCATAGATAGCTCTTATTATTTTGAAATACGTCCCATCAATACCTAATTTATTGAGAGTTTTTAGCATGAAGGGTTGTTGAATTTTGTCAAAGGCTTTTTCTGCATCTATTGAGATAATCATGTGGTTTTTGTCTTTGGCTCTGTTTATATGCTGGATTACATTTATTGATTTGCGTATATTGAACCAGCCTTGCATCCCAGGGATGAAGCCCACTTGATCATGGTGGATAAGCTTTTTGATGTGCTGCTGGATTCGGTTTGCCAGTATTTTATTGAGGATTTTTGCATCAATGTTCATCAAGGATATTGGTCTAAAATTCTCTTTTTTGGTTGTGTCTCTGCCCGGCTTTGGTATCAGAATGATGCTGGCCTCATAAAATGAGTTAGGGAGGATTCCCTCTTTTTCTATTGATTGGAATAATTTCAGAAGGAATGGTACCAGTTCCTCCTTGTACCTCTGGTAGAATTCGGCTGTGAATCCATCTGGTCCTGGACTCTTTTTGGTTGGTAAACTATTGATTATTGCCACAATTTCAGAGCCTGTTATTGGTCTATTCAGAGATTCAACTTCTTCCTGGTTTAGTCTTGGGAGAGTGTATGTGTTGAGGAATGTATCCATTTCTTCTAGATTTTCTAGTTTATTTGCATAGAGGTGTTTGTAGTATTCTCTGATGGTAGTTTGTATTTCTGTGGGATCGGTGGTGATATCCCCTTTATCATTTTTTATTGTGTCTATTTGATTCTTCTCTCTTTTTTTCTTTATTAGTCTTGCTAGTGGTCTATCAATTTTGTTGATCCTTTCAAAAAACCACATAGCTGGCAATTTCTAAAGTGAAGGAAGATGAATGGTCTGAGAGCAGAAGGAGGAGCATGAAAGACATTTACCCCATGTCCAGCACTATGAAGGAGAAAAATACAGCCACTACTTGAGAGGGCTGCAGAAGAAGTAGTATTGTCAAGGGAGATTCATGTTTCCCTTAGATCAAGAAAGTCAGGGGAATTTTGAAAGAAAAGCACATAGAGGAATGTGACAATGGCTGACTGAATTCTCAAGGACAAAATATAAGAGTTAAGGACTCAGGAAGATGGGGTCAGAAAAAGGTCTATAATGGACCATATAGGGATTGGCGTGCAGAGATACCTAAGGTGCACAAAGGGCATTAAATGGTCAGTTCCGATGATTTCACGATGAGGGAGGCGAAGCAATTTTTGAGGCTCTGTTGGAGCATGAGGAAGATGGAAGGTTCTTTCCAGGTCCCTGTAGAGTTCTGAGACTTTTCCTTAGAGTTTTGATGGAGGGTAAGGTGCATACCTGGTATGATCAGATGGGTCTCAGAGGCTTTCTTGTGATTTCTGCTGACAGAGATGACTGGTGTGAAGGCTAGGAAAGGATTCTTATATATTTATGAAAATCTCTCATGATCAGCTACACTCATGTTTTTATAAACTTTATTATAATTTTAAAGCATTTATACTGATTGTAAAAGTGATCTTTTGTCTTCTCAAGGACCTCCCCAATGGGTTATAGGAGAAGCACTCTTACTGCATTAATTCAATTATTTATGAAGGTTATTAAAATTTCACTGGTTCCAATAAAGAAATGAAATATAGTAGCTATAGTTAACATTTGTTGAGGACGATGGTGATTTACATGGGGAATTATGTAAGAAGAAGGTTTATGGTCCTTGTGTCTTAATCTCTAACACTGTGGTTAGTTTATCACCACAGGTTGGCACATTCTTTAAGGAAGTATTATTTTCTTCACTTTATAGATGAAGAGTCTGTTATTCAAAGCAGTTCAACAAGTTAAAGTCGAGATTTGAACCTCACTTTGTCTTGGTTCAGTCCCTTATAATTGGGCATGTGCTCATGTTTGTACAGTGTTTTCAGATAAATTACCTCATTTACATGGATAATGATTTAGTTTAGTCTTATTAGTGCTCCTCAAAGCTCCCCACAATGCCAGAGTTCATTTCAGCCTACAAAATGTGCTTGAAATCTATGTTAATTAGAATTATCTCTCACTGATCCTTGGAATCCACATGTCCTTCTTGCTGTCTTACATATGAGCAGGTTAAAGGAGCATAAACTCTTGTCCAGTAAAATCTCATGTTTTTCCTAGAAAAACAAACTACCGTGAAAACACGATAAAAAGGTATTTGAAATAAAAAAAAAAACCACAGCATATAAACCCCTTTGGATCTTTGGCATGATTTTTTCTTAAGTCATCCTTGATTTTTTAAATTGACATTTTCATAGTTGATATATGCAAAAGAACACATGCAATATACATATAAACTATGAAGCAAGTTAACAAAACAAAACAATTCCTAACCACTTCGCCAGCCCTGAACTGGACACTGCTGAAGCTTACTGAGGGCTCCTCCTAAGCTTAATCTCCTGCCTTCCACACAGAGGTAAACAGTATCCTGAATTGGTGTTTATCATTTCCTTACTTTAAAGGTAATGCAACCCTAGCCAATATTGTTCATTATTTTTGCCTTTAAATATTTCAGAGATGATATTATATAGTACCTGGTCTTGCATATCTTGTGTTTTTTCCTACATTCTCTTTCTTAGACTTGTCCAAGTGGTTGAATGTTCATTTATTTTCACTGCTGCATAATATTAGAGTGTGTGAATGTAACATAACTTATTTATCCTTCTCTGATTGATGGGTATTTGGATTGTTCCTAGTTTTTGCTCATCTTCCACTGTGAAATATCTTTTGCCAAACAGACATTCTTAATTGTAATGTAATCAATTTTACCCCCTTTTATGTTATGATTACTACTTTCTACGTCTTGTTTAAGAAGTAATTTATAACTTTGAGGTAATGAAAAAAAATTCTCTCATGCCGGTGGCCCTTTTAGGGTCCTGTAGAATCCTCTGAATAACCGGCCCTGAAAGCTGACAAGAAGCTTTGTTACAGGACCCTTGATGATGGCCAATTTTCTCTTAGGGAAAGGAACATGTCTACATGAAGAGAAGTTTGCAGACAGGCATTTAGAAGGAGCAAGACTTGGTCATGAATATAGTCTCTTATAATTTCTCTCAAAAATTTTAAAGTTTTATTGTTGACATTTGAGTCTTCAAGCTATCTGAAATTGATTTTTTGTGTGTATGGTGTGAGATTGAGATCCAATATTATTTTCTTCTAATAGCCAATTTTCTTGGGAAAATTTAATGAAATAGTTTATCTTTTCCACAATAAACTATACTGCTGCCTCTGTTGTTCATTTACCTGTGGATCTCTTTCTGATCTTCTGTTCTTTTGGTCCATGTATCTGTTATTGTGCCATAAGCACACGGTCTTAATTATCACTTTTTATAATAGATGGCAGGTGAAATTTTCCTATATTCTTCTTGACCATTCTTGTGTCTCTGTATTTTCATAGGAATTTTAGAATCAGTTTGTTAAGTTCATTAAAAAACAGTGTTGGAATTTTTATTAGAATTGCATTGCCCCAAAATTGCATTGTTAACTCTGCATAGTCAATTCTTGGAATTTAGTCATTTTATCTTAGTTTCAAATTTATTGAGACACACAATTTTTATCATACTCTTGTTATCTTTTAAATTTCTACTGTGTCTGTGGTAAATCCCCCTTTTCATTTCTAATGCTGTTTTTCTATTTTTATCAATCATCTCATTGAAATCTGTCTATTTTAATAGTCTTTTCAAATGATCCAGTTTTGAAAAACTTTCTATGTTGAAATAAGCAAAGACTTTCAAAAATATTGCAATAATAACACAGGGAATATTTGCTTTGTTATTTTTGCTCCCTCCCCCACCATGCACTACATAGACACACATGATTCATTTTTTCTGAACCATGTGAAGAAAGGTGGCATGTATCATACCCTTTTAATTCTTAACATATCAGTGTGACTTTCCTAGGAACAAGGGTATCCTTATATGACCACAGTGTGCTTACAGTTATTCAATTCAAGAAATCAAATATAATACTTTGGTTTACATCTATAGTCACATTCTATCTGTAGAACTTTTATATTTGACTATTATATTTTTATTTGTTATTCTGTACTTTTTCAAAACTGGTGATTGTTGAGTATTCACTTTTTAAAATGGCTTTATAGAGGTATAATTTATATACTATAAAATTAACCCATTGAGAGTGTGAAGTTTGATGATTTTGGGGAAATGGATACTGTTATGCAACCATCACCACAATCAAGTTTTGGAATATTTCCATCAGCTCAAAGTTCCCTCATGCTCATCTGGAGTCAATCTCCACTTTCACCCCTAGCTCCCACAGTGACACCCACTATTCTAACTTGTCATTATAGTTTTTTCTTTTCTAGAAATTTCTTAAAAGCAGAATGTATTAGTCTGTTCTCATGCTGCTAATAAGGACATACCTGAGACAGGGTAATTTATAAAGAAAAGAGGTTTAATTGACTCACAGTTCCACACGGCTGGGGAGGCCTCACAATCATGGAGGAAGGTGAATGAGGAGCAAAGTCATGTCTTACGTGGTGTCAGGCAAGAGAGCTTGTGTAGGGGAACTCCATTTATAAAACCATCAGATCTTGTGAGACTTATTTACTACCGTAAGAACAGTTTGGGGCAAATGCTCCTACGATTCAATTATCTCTACCTGGCCCTGCCCTTGACACTTGGGGATCATTACAATTCAAGGTGAGATTTGGGTGGGGACACAGCCAAACCATATCACAGAATCATATAATGTGCAATCTTTTGTATCTGGCTTCTTTGTTGTAGTATAATGTTTGTGAGGTTCATCTATGTTGTTGCATGCATCAGGAGTTTGTTCCTTTAAAAAAATTTTTATTTTTAATTTTTGGGTGTACATAATAGGTATATATATTTATGGAGTACATGAGATATTTTGGTACAGGGATGCAATGCATAATAATCATGTCATGGACAATTGGCTAACTATTCTGTCAAGCATTTATCCTTTGTGTTACAAACAATCCAGTTATATCTTTTAGTTATTTTAAAATGTACAACTAAATTATTATTGATTTATAGTCCCCCTGTTGTGCTATAAAATACTAGGTTTTGTTCAATTCTTTGTAACTGTATATATATATATACAAGCTGTCTTGTGTGTGTGTGTGTATTGTGTGTATTATACACAATGGAGTACTATTCAGCCATAAAAAAGAATGAGATTCTGTCATTTGCAACATGAGTGGGACTGGAGGTCATTATGTTAAGTGAAATAAGCCAGGCACAGAAAGACAAACATCAAGTGTTCTCACTTGTTTGTGGGACTCTCAAAACCAAAACAATTAAACTCATGGATAGAGAGAATAGAAGAATAGTTACCAGAGGCTAGGAAGGGTAATGGGTGGGATGGGGGGACAGTTAAAGGGTTAAGACTTGTTTTGTGACCTTACATATGGTCTGTCCATAAGAATCATCCATGTGCTGAGGAGAAAAGTATGTGTTCTATGGCCATTAGATTAAAATGTTCTGTAAATATCTATTAGGTTTATTTGTTCTACAGTGCAGATTAAATCTGATGTTTCTTTGTTTATTTTCTATCTGGGAGATCTGTCCAATGCTGAAAGTGAGGTCTTAAAGTCTCCAGCTATTATTGTATTGGGGTCTATCTCTCTTTTAGCTCTCATAATATTTGCTTTATATATCTGGTGCTCTGGTGTTGGATGCATTGATGTTTATAATAATTATATCCTCTTGCTGAATTGACCATTTTATCATGATATAACGACCTTCTTTTTCTCTTCTTACAGTTCTTGTCTTGAAGTATATTTTGTCTAACATAAGTATAGTTAATCCTGCTCTTTTTTGGTTTCCATTGATATGGAATATCTTTTTTATCCATTTATTTTTAGTCTATGTGTATCTTTATAGGTGAAGTGTGTTTCTTGTAGGCAACAGATCACTGAGCCTGAGTCTTGTTTTTTCATCCGTTCAGCCACTCTATATCTTTTGATTGGAAATCTTAGTCCATTTACATTCAATGTTATTATTGATAAGTGGGGACTTACTCCTGCTGTTTTGTTATTTGTTTTCTGGTTATTTTGTGGTCTTCTCTTCCTTCCTGTCTTCCTTTTAGTAAAGTTGATTTTCTCTGGTAGTATGCTTTAATTTCTTGCTTTTTATTTTTTGTATATTTATCATATGTTTTTTGATTTGAGATTACCATGAAGCTTGCAAGTACTATCTTATAATGCATCATTTTAAACTGATGAAAGCTTACCACTGAATGCATAAACAAACATGCAAAAAGAAACTTAATAAGAACTGTACACTTTAACTTTGTCCCCCAACATTTTAACTTTTTATTGTCTCTCTTTATGTCTTATTGTACTATGTCTTGAAAAGTTATTGTAGTTATAATTTATTTTTTCTACTTAAGTAAAGAGTGGTTTACACACCACCATTACAGTGTTATAGTATTCTGTATTTTTCTGTGTGCTATTACTACTATTTTTGTACCTTCAGATAATTTCTTGTTGTCCATGAACATTATTTTCTTTCTTTCAGATTGAAGAACTCTTCTTTAGCATTTTTTGTAGGATGGAAATCTGATCTGGTGTTGATGAAATCCCCCAGGTTTTGTTTGTCTGGGACAGTCTGTATTTTTACTTCAGGCTTAATAGATATTTTCATGGGATATAACATTCTAGGGTAAAAGCTTTTTTTTCTTCAGCACTTTAAATATGTCATGCCATTCTCTCCCAGCCTGTAGGATTCCACTGAAAAGTCTGCTGCCAGACATATTGAAGCTCCACTGTATATTATTATTAATTTCTTTTCCCTTGGTGCTTTTAGGACTTTTCTTTATCCTTGACCTTTGGGAGTTTGATTATTAAGTTCCTGGGGGTAGTCTTTTTTGGGTTAAATCTGCTTAGTGTTCTATAAACTTCTTGAAATTGAATGTTGATATCTTTCTCTAGGTGTGGAAAGTTCTCTGATATTATCCCTTTGAATAAACTTTCTACCCCTATCTCTTTCTATACCTCTTCTTTAAGGCCAATAATTCTTAGATTTGCCCTTTTGAGACTCTTTTCCAGATCTTGTAGGTGTGTGTTATTGTTTTTTATTCTTTTTTCTTTTGTCACCTCTGACTGTGTATTTTCAAATAACCCGTCTTTAAGCTTGCTAATTCTTTTTTTCTGCTTGATCAATTCTGCTATTAAGATACTCTGATGCATTCCTCAGCATGTCAATTGCATTTTTAAATTCTAGAATTTCTGCTTGATTCCTTTTAACTATTTCAATCTCCTTATTACATTTATCTAATAGAATTCTGAATTCCTTCTCTGTATTATCTTGAATTTCTTTGAGTTTCCTCAAAACAGCTACTTTGAATTCTCTGTCTGAAATGTCATATGTCTCTTTTTCTCCAGGATTGGTCTCTGGTGACTTACTCAGTTCATTTAGTGAAGTCATGTTTCCTTGGATGGTGTTGATGCTTGTAGATGTTCATTGGTGTCTGGGCATTGAAGAGTTAGGTATTGTAGTCTTCACAGTCTAGGCTTGTTTGTGTCTGTCCTTCTTGGGAAGGCTTTCCAGGTATTCAAAGGGACTTGGGCCCCAAACCCAATAATGCTATGGTTTTTAGACTCATAGAGATACCACTTCAGTGGTCTGGAATAGGATCTGGAAGAATTCTCTGTATCACCAGGCAGAGACTCTTGTTCTTTTCCCATATTTTCTCTCAAACATTCTTTATCTCTGTGCTGTACCACCTGGAATGGGAGGTGTTGTGATGCAAGCATCACTATGGCCACCACCATTGGGACTGCACTGGGTGAGACCTGAAGCCAGTGCAGCACTGGGCCTTACCCAGGGCTCTTCCCTTCAGTGCCCTCAGTTTCTGGGTGTGTCCAGAGATGCTATCTGGGAGCCAGGGATTGTAGTCAAAAACCTTAACAATTTATCTGATACTCTATTCTACTGCAGCTAAGTTGGCAATCAAACCACAATACAAAATCTTTCCCACTTTTTGTCTCCCCTTTCCACAGGCAGAGGAGCTTCTTCTTGTGGCCACCATCACCACTAGTCTACAGGGGTTCTGCCAGGCCACTGCTGATGCTCAGTTAGTGCCCAAGGGCTCTTCTGTCAGCTTGTGGTAAGGACTAGAACTCACCTTTCAAGGCAGTGGGTGTCCCTCTGGCCCAGGGCAGGTCCAGAAATGCTGCCCAAAAGCCCAGGTCTGGACTCAGGGACCTCACGAGCCTGCTTGTTGCTCTACCCCACTGTGGCCAAGCTGGTACCTAGGGTACAAGACAAAGTCCCTTTTACCTTTCCCTCTGCTTTTCTCAAACAGGAGTCTTTCACTGTAGCCACCACAGCTGGAAATGTGCTGGGTCACCTGTGAAGCCAGCACATCTCAGAACCCAAAGCCTACAGCATGCTGTCAGGGTATCACTGCTGATTATTCAAGGCACCAAGATCTCTTTACTCAGCAGGAGATGAATACTCCCAGGACTGGGTCCTTCCCTTTAAGGCAGCAGGTTCCACTGTGGCCCAGAGTGTGTCTAGAAATGTCATCCAGGAATTAAGACCTGGAATGGGGGGCCTCGTGACTCTGCCTGGTGCCCTATTCTGTTGTGGCTGCTCTGTTATTCAAGATGCAAGACAAAATCTTTACTCTTCACTTTTTTCTCCTTAAGCATAAGGAAGGAGTCACTTTCACTGTTAAGCTGTACTGCCTGGGGTTAGGGGAGGGGTGGTGCAAGCACTCCCTTAGATGCACCAGGCTGGCATTTCCCTAGGTCATGTGCCACCCGAGTTCACTGGCTCTAAGCCCAGCCTAGCACTAGGCATTGCCTAGGAATTACAGTCCTTGTGTCCTAGACTCTCTTCCCTAGGACTCCAGAGCACTTTAGCCTGTGGTGGCAAGGCTTACCTAGGACTCCAGAGCACTTTAGCCTGTGGTGGCAAGGCTTACCTAGGACTCCAGAGCACTTTAGCGTGTGGTGGCAAGGCTTGTGGAGAAACTCAAGTTCTGATCCCTGAGATGGGTGATACCCCTCTAGCTGATCCAAATGCTCCCACCATGCAGGGGCACTGGCTGAGCCCACCACGGCTTTATTCTCTGTGGAGACAGCGCAGTGCTGAGTTCAATGTAAAGTCCCCAGTCACTGTGCTCTCCCTCCCCAAAGTGCACAGATTCTCTCTTCGCACCACAAGGCCACTGCGGGGGGTATAGGAGAGGGGTGGTGTCAGTGATTCAGGACTTTTTCTCTTGCCCTCCTCAATGCCTCTTTTGGAGGTAACACAAAGTTAAAACAAGGTATTGTGATTGGTCATCTGAGTTTTTATTCTTTTGACAGTGCTTTTCGGTGTGTAGACAGTGTTCCTGTTGTGGGGGGATGAAGGGTGTAGGCTTTTATTCTACCATCTTGCTCTACATTCTGTTACCTTTCATAGCTGAATAATAGTCCATTGTTTGGATACACTACACTTCGCTTATCCATTCACCAGTTGATGGACATTTCGGTTCCTAGTTTTTGATTATTATTAATAATGTTCCTATGAACATTCACGTACAAGCCTTTGTGTGGGTATATGTTTTTATTTCTCTTTGGCAATATCACAGCTAGGTGTGATATTGCTGGATTATATGGTGAGTTTATGTTGAACTTTTTAAGGAAACTGCCAAACAATTTTCCAAAGTGGTATTATTTTAACTTCCTATTGGCAATATATAATAGTAGTATGTAAGGGTTTCATTCTTTTACATTTTTGTCAACACTTGGCATTGTCAGTCTTTTAATTTTAGCTATTCTAGTGATTGTGCAGTGATATCCTATTGTGGTTTAAATTAGAATTTCCCTAATAAATAATTATAAACATATTTTCACATTTTTATTCATCATTCCTATATCTTCTTTTATGAAGTGTCTGTTTAAATCTTTTTCACCTTAAAAGTTGAGTTCTTTGCTTTTTATTATTGAGTAATAAGTGTTCTTTTTATATTATAGATGTGTTTTTATTATATATATTCTTTGCACATATTTTCTCACAGTCTGTGGCAAGTTTTTTCTTTTTCTTAATAGTTTCTTTTGATCACTAAAACTTTTAGGTCTGATGAAGCTCAATTTATCATTTTTTTCTTGTCTACATATGCTTTTGGTATCATATCTGGGAAATCTTTGCCTTACAAGGGAAAAAATTCTTCTAGAAACTTCTAGAAGTTTCATATTTTAGCTCTTACATGTAGATATGTAATCCATTTTGAGTTAATTTGTGTGTGTGAGGTTAGAGTCTAAACTTATTTATTTATTTTTTGCATATAAATATCAAACTGTTCCAGTGCCATTTATTGAAGAGATTATCCTTTTAACCACTTGACATCCTTGTTGAAAATTAATTCAGCATACATATGAGACTTTTTTCTGGACTCTCTCTTCTGTTCTGCTGATCTGTGTGTTTATACCGATGCCAATACTACACTGTTTTGATAACTTATTTTTTATTCTGTCTTATATATTTAAATATTATACCTTTTATATCTTTAAACAGTTTATATTAGTTATCTGCTATTACAATATCTGAAGTCCTTATGTGTCCAAGAAAAACGTTTGTTGTTTCTGCTGATTCTCAATCTTGGTGCTTGTTTGCTTGTCTCTTTAGTGATATTTTTGAGCTCATATTTGGTTGAAATTCATCTGTGGGAATCCTGAAGGTCTATTTGGGAATTCTTTTACCTTAGAAGATTTGTATTTGCTTTTAGCAGAACCAGGCTGTCAAATCAACCTGAGACCAGGGCTGGGACAAGAGTTAAGCAGGAGAGGTTGTCTAGGTGCAGAATTTAAGGAGGCACTCACTCCCAAGGTCATGCAAGTATGCCTTCTTAAATTTGCACTTTACTACCTCTCTTGCCTCACCCTAGTTCTGGCCCCATCAGAGACTACTTTAATTCATTTTGAAGTTCTTAATTTACTATGGGGTTCAGGTTCATCTTGCCTGTAATGCCAATGGTCCTGAGGCTCAGTCTCCTGGGACTTCTTTAATCCCCTTCTAGGTTTCCTGGCTTAATGTAGGAGTATCAAGTTCAGTTCTCCTCACATGCAAGGACCCCAAAGCTGTTTTCTGATGTCAGTAGGAATCTACATTCTTGGGCAACTTGGTTTTCAGATTTTAATATCTCATCATCATTCTTATTCAGCTTTTTGTTCTTTGTTTTAGATTCTCCTTGTTTTATCATAAACCATCAATGCCATAAAGATATGTTATTTATCCAGGATTTAATTTTACTATAGTAGGAGAAGCTTCCAAAATATGTAGCCTATGGTATATTTGGAAGAGTGATACTTAATTTCTTTAATGACATTTATTTTCATGTTGCATTTGACTAGAAAAATATAGCTTACAATCTTTAAAGCAGAATTTTTGTTTCAGGATGATTAGTAGATGAAAAATGTAGACAATAGGCTTAGTAATAAGTAATTGCCAAGATGATTGGTTTGACCTTAAATAGTAGAAAAAATTTTATTTAGACTCCTTCATTGGTTCTGATCAAAATAGTACTGCCAAGTGCTTGGTGATTTTCTTCCACGATTGTGATTAAGCCCCTGCTAAGCAGGTGAGCTGACCATGCTCACAGAATGCTGATTTGCTTTCTTAAAGGACTCTGCTTACAAGAAAGCCTTCTGCATGTGGTATATGCTCTGAAGCCAAGAAAAATGAAATGTGAAGCTTTGCAAGTTGGAACAGAATTACAATTTCACACTAAACCTATGGTGAACAAATACTCTCATTATTAAATGTTCTACTTCAGTGATAATAGGAATGAGAAACAGTTGATTTAATTAAAAAACTGAAGCCTTTTTGTTGAAATATATAAACTTTGTTAGAGAATAACAGGAAGAAGAAAATTAAAATGGTCTTTTATCATTTAAAGGCCAAAAGCAGAATCAATTGGCCTGAGTTTTAGTTCCATCTAATAACAACATAGGCTTCTTGACCACATTGTTCTTTCCTGTATAAAGAGGCATTGGACCACCAGCTGGGGAGGCTATGTGCCTCCTGTTTCACAGATGTCATGAAGCAGTGTTCATAGCCAGAGACAGGCCTGGGCTGGAATAAAAGTTCTGCCGCTACTAATTAAGTGAACTTGGATTACTTAGCATAGCTAGCCTTAGCTTTGACATAAGAAAATTGAGATAATAACTGTACATACTTTATTAGGTTGTTTAAGCACTGGAGGGAAATATTGCATGAAAAGTGCTAACAGAGTGGTTGATACATAGCAGATGCTGAATAAATATAGTTAATATTTTTGTTGTTCTTCACCTGGTTGAGGGAATTTATGCCAAGCAAGTTATATGCATGGATCTTTATCCCTTTTGATGTAGTGTTATTGACCTTAAAACTGAATGAGAAAAGATACTTCATAAGTTTTCTTTTTTTTTTTTTTTTTGAGACTGAGTCTCACTGTGTTGCCCAGGCTGGAGTGCAGTGGCATAATCTCAGCTCACTGCAAGCTCCGCCTCCCGGGTTCATGCCATTCTCCTGCCTCAGCCTCCTGAGTAGCTGGGACTACAGGCGCCTGCCACCACACCCGGCTAATTTTTTGTATTTTTTTTTTTTTTTAGTAGAGACAGGGTTTCACCATGTTAGCCAGGATGGTCTCGATCTCTTGACCTCATGATCCGCCTGTCTTGGCCTCCCAAAGTGCTAGGATTACAGGCGTGAGCCACCGTGCCCGGCCGATACTTCATAAGTTTTTCAGGAATAGCTGAAATGTGAATATTTCATTACTGATGTCATATTGCAACCACCCTATTGAGAGGTAATTTCCGTAGGTTAATTCTAGTGGACATTTTTCACCATTACACTTTAGCTAATCAAGTTATCATAATTCAGAAGGAAAATGTAAACATTTGGTTAGCATTGTTTCCTTATATGTATATAGGCAAATGCTGGTTTTAAACAACTGAGAAACCAACTCCATTTTAATCATGTTCCTCATCTTGTTATTTAAGTGAAAAATTACCATACATCTCATTATACTGTGCGGATATGTTGAAGTCCTATTACCAGTGCAATGTGAATGTGGCCTCTTCATTTTCCAGTACCACTCAGTGGCTGGCATAAAGTAACAGGTTTAGCTGAGGCATTTGTGTTCATCTCAGACTTTGTAAAGTTTGAAAGAAACATTTAAGAAAAATGTTCTGACAGGAAAAGGGATAGAACAGTGTTTTGATATCTCTGGAACTTGGACAGAGAGGTTGCTTCTAAAAAGGGTGGGTAAATGCAATATGTATGTGTGTGTGTGTGTGTGTGTGTGTGTGTGTGTGTGTGTGTAGTGTGTGTATCTTAATATACAATCTTATGAAGCTGTTCTTGGAATAATCAGCATGAAGCTATCAGGAGACTTTTGTGATTGCCAGGTAATTTACTTCACTTGTGGGCTAGGGCAAATTGCATTAATTGAGTTGATCACAGGTAATAGTCTCAAGCATCACTACATCATGTGAATAATTACCTCAGGTACACAATACTATAATTAAGACTCTAGCTCTAAATCATACTTACTCAATTCGTTCTTGCCTGCTAAGTGAGACATCTCAAGTGGCTTAAATTTAGCAGCTGACACTGTAGGGTTGTTACTGTAGGGTTAAGGGAAAACATACTGCTGGCCTGTAGAAAGACTGTATAGTCTTAGCTTTTATAATCTTAAAAGATAGTCAGATCAAGCACTTTAGTGAGTACAGAATGTTGCATTAATGGGAGGAGAAACAATGCTGTGAATGAGCGGTCTCTTTAAGCCAAGTCCTAAAAAGCACCAAGAGCTTCCATTTTCACCCCAAATATCTAGTGGATCTTTGACGTTTTCACATACTAGCCCTTATGGTTTCTTTCGGTGATAAAAGAGATCCTGGGCTGGGTCTGGTGGCTCACGCCTGTAATCCCAGCACTTTGGGAGGCCAAGGGCGGGGGCAGATCACCTGAGGTCAGGAGTTCGAGACCAGCCTGGCCAACATGGCGAAACCCCACCTCTGCTAAAAATACAAAAATCAGCCGGGTGTGCGGGCACGTGCCTGTAGTCCCAGCTACCCAGGAGGCAGAGGCCCAGCTACCCAGGATGCCGAGGCAGGAGAGTCACTTGAACCTGGGTGGTGGTGGGGGCACGGAGGTTGCAGTGAGCCGAGATTGTGCCACTTCATTTCAGCCTAGGCGAAAGAGCAAAACTCCGTCTCAAAAAAAAAAAAAAAAATTCCTGGCCAGAGAGGTGTGTTCCCTGATCTTGAGGGTGGGAGTTCTCTAGTCCTCTCTCCACTTCTCTGCCTACAAGTTCCATTCCTCTGCAAACAAGTGGTGGAGTCGACAGTGCCTGGATTTCTACTCCGATGGCCTGGCTTTGCTTCTGGGCTCCTTTCCTGACAAGCTAAGTGATGTGCCTTGCTTCCTTTTGTGAAAAAGGGAATTACTAGGATTATGAAAAAAAAAAAAAAAACAAAGAGATAATTGGGACTAATTTGAGGACAGTATAAAATAATGAATATATAATGTCCTGTACACATAATATTTTAAAATACCAGGGAAGGTGGTGTGAACCCATAGTCCCAGCTACTCAGGAGGCTGAGGTGGAAGGATCACTTGTGCCCAGGAGTTTGAAGCCAGCCTGGGGAACATAGTGAGACTCCATCTCTAATTTAAAAATACTGTTACTATTTTATCTCTGTCTAATTAATCTACTTTCCTGTCCACCCCGATGCCATTTTTCCCTTCATTTGGCCCTGCTGCCATAGACCTGCCTCTCTGCTGCATCCCAGGCCCTAGTTGTTCTCTTTGATCTGACTGATTCTCCTCTGACCCCATGCTTACTGGCTGGCCTGTAGTTTCTTACTCTGCAAAGGTCATTCGACAATTCATATAAGTCTTTTTATGCCCTTATTTATCTCTGGCCTTGCCAAAGTTTGTTACTTTTTTTTTTTTTCAGGCCCCAGCTGTTGTAATATCCTCCCAACTGGATCCTAGGTCCTGTCTCCTAGGCGATAATTTTTGGGTGCCTTTTAATGATGTTAACTTCTTTGTTAGCCTACTGAGAAAAATCACTCTCTCCAAGGGCTTCCCTCTAGAACTGTATTTCTTAAACGGACCACCTGTACCAGAATCACCTGGGGACTAACAAAAGTGCAGACCTCTGTGTCCTACCCAGATTGACTGCATCAGATTCTTCTTAGGGGCTAAAGTCCACCTGTCTTTTGAAAAAACATTTTGGAGATGCTTGGGCACACCGAAGAGTTTTCCTACCAATTCTTCTCTTATCCAGATCCTCAGTGCTTGCCCTCTGTAACAGTAACAGCAATGATAACAATCATTAACAACACACATCAATGGCTCACTATATGCCAAGAACTACTCTAAATGCCTTTACATTTATTATTTCATTCTTAAAACAAATGTATGAGGTAAGTATGTATGCTGATTACCATTTTTTCAGATTAGTAAACTGCAGCAATACTACCAGTAAGTATAAAAACTGGGATTCAGTTTCTGGTTTAATGTCAGATGCTTTTTTTTTTTTTGGAGATAGGGTCTTTCTTCGTGCCCCAGGCTGGGGTGCATTGGCACCATTACAGTTCACTGTATCCTTGACCTCCTGGGCTCAAGTGATCCTCCTACCTCAGCCTCCTGAGTAGCTGGGATTTTAGGTGTGCACCACCATACCTGGCTAATTTTTTAATAAATTTTTTTTGTAGAAAGAGTCTCACCATTTTACCCAGGCTGGTCTTGAGCTTCTGGTTTCAAGTGATCTTCCCACCTTGGCCTCCCAAGATGCTGGGATTACAGGCATGAGCCATCTTGCCTGGTCCAGATGCTATATTTTGAATTACTGTACTACAACTGTCTCTGTACTTGGAACTTGAATTTGCTTCTTATCTGTGGACTTCTTGGCTTTGATATTGGCCTGGCTTATTCCACGTGCCTATTTGCTGACTTCCATGATAGTACCCTCTTCCTGCCCAGAATCCTGTTCTTCATCAGCCCTCCTAATTGGGCTTCTCTCTCTTAGATGTTTTTGCTTCTTCTTTGTTTAGGTATAACTCAGGTCCTTGGTAAGATCACTTCATCCTTTGGGATTTAAATAAAATTAGCGTAAACACTGTAACTCTTATAATGTGGAAAGGTCAACTGAAGCCTCTACCAATATATCTGTGAATTAAATGAGGCTTATGTTCTTATGGTCATATGTTCCTGAGGACTCTCAAATTCATTTGTGCCATCTTCTGCAGTGGTTCTATTGGCCCTAAGCTAATCCATCCATGGAACCTAGTCCCTTTTCCTTGATTTCCCGAAATACTTTTCTTGGAATGCATTGCGTGTGTCTATGTGTGTGTGTAGAAATTTTATGAATTTGAATTGGTAAAAAGAATTACATGGAATTAAGTTAAAAGATGTTAGACTTCCTGTTCCTTTCTAAAAGAGTTCATTTTCTTGCCAAAAGGGATTTTCCAGTTGCTAAATTTTTCTGCAGGCCATCATGTTGACTGTGTCCCTGAGTCCTGTTCTTTGCTTCATTTTTCCCTTCTCTACCCTTCTTCATTCTAGAATTCTAAGGGGCGTCACAAGGCTTAATTGGAGGATTGGTGTTAGGAACAATGAGGGTTATATGAATACCAATTTCACTGTCAGATCCGGTGGCCAAGAAGTCATCATTGAAAAGGATGGATTTATTAAGATTCATTTCAATAGAAGTATCACTTCTCAGTGACCCAGTTCAGCTATTCTATTGTTCTTAATGTAACATTTAAGTGTACATGCTTTTATCCAACACTAAATATGTATTCTGGGACCCCTCTCTGGTGCTGTCCTCTCCACATGGGGGTAAATATTTGTGGGGAGGAGGCCTTAGGAGATGATGTGAAGGCAAGTGGGATGGACTTGGCATCACTCCTACTAAGATGGAAGATAGGTGAGGTCATTTGGATCAAAATGCCTACTCATGAACAGTCTGCTAGCATAGGACCTGGGTATAGCTACTGCCATTCTTCTCATCTCTTCAGCTAATAAGGATGGATCTAGCATATATAGTGGGATGTCTCCATTTCCTCATTTTTCATAAACTCTTTAACTGACTCCATTGCAGCATCTACTTCCAATAAAACCACTAACACTATTCTCATTAAGGTCACAAGTGATGTTCGTAACATTATTTCCAATGGAAAATTATTTGTCCTCTTTGTTTTAAGCCTTGTAGCAATTATTGGTATAGTTACTCTCTCCTTTTTGTTTTTGCTTTTTAAATTTTTAACAGCCTCATAAAGCAAATTCACCTATTTTAAATGTATATATTGTTGGGTTTTGGTAAATGTATGCAGCCATCGAGGCGTTACTACAATTCAGTTTAAGACTGACTGTATCATCCCCAAATGTTCCCTTATGCTCCTTAGGTACTCAACTGTCCCCAGGAAATCAGCAATCTGCTTTCTGTCATGACTTTTGACATTTAAGAAATTTCATATAAATAATGAATCATATAGTATGTACAAATTTGTCTGGTCCCTTTCACTTAGCATGATATTTTGAAATTCACTCATATGGTTGCATGTGTCAGCTGTTCATTCTTTTTTAGTGCTGAGTAATGGTCCATTGTTTGGATACATCATATTTTGTTTATCTACTTGTTGAACATTTGTATTATTTTCAGTCTTTGGTTATGCTGAATAACTCTGCTATAAACATTCACATAAAAGTTGTGTGAACATAGTTTTTCATTTCTCTTGAGTAGATATTTAGAAGAATCATGTGATTCATGTTCAATTTTGTAAGCAACTGCCAAACTGATTTAAAAAGTGTCTGTACTGCAAAAGAAACTATCAGAGTGAACAGGCAACCTACAGAATGGGAGAAAATTTTTGCAATCTGCCTATCTGAAAAAGGTCTAATATCCAGAATTTACAAGGAACTAAAACAAATTTACAAAAAAAACCCAACCCCATCAAAAAGTGAGCAAAGGATATGAGCAGACACTTCTCAAAAGAAGACATTTATGCGGCCAACAAACATGAACAAAAGCTCAACATCACTGATTGTCAGAGAAATGCAAATCAAAACCACAGTGAGATACCATCTCACACCAGTCGGAATGGTGATTATTAAAAAGTCAGGAAACAACAGATGCTGGCGAGTCTGTGGAGAAATAGGAACACTTTTACACTGTTGGTGGGAATGTCAATTAGTCCAACCATTGTCCAAGACAGTATGGCAATTACTCAAGGATCTAGAACCAGAAATACCATTTGACCCAGCAATCCCATTACTGGTTATATACCCAAAGGAATATAAATCATTTTATTACAAAGACACATGCACACATATGTTTATTGCAGCACTATTTACAATAGCAAAGACATGGAACCAACCCAAATGCCCATCAATGATAGACTGGATAAAGAAAATGTGGTACATATACATCATGGAATACTATGCAGCCATAAAAAGGAATGAGATCACGTCCTTTGCAGGGGCATAGATGAAGCTGGAAGCCATCATCCTCAGCAAACTAATGAAGGAACAGAAAACCAAACACTGCATGTTCTCACTCATAAGTGGGAGTTGAACAATGAGAACACCAGGACACAGGGAGGGGAACATCACACACCAGGGCCTCTTGTGGGGAGGAAACTTAGAGGACAGGTCAATAGGTGCAGCAAACCACCATGGCACAGGTATACCTATGTAACAAACCAGCACGTTCTGCACATGTATTCCCCCCGCCTTTTTTGGAAGAAAAAATATTGTTTACAGAAAAAAGTGTCTGTGCCACTTTGCCTTTCTATCAACAAGGCATGAGGATTTCGGTTTCTTGGCAGCATCAGTGACATTTTTCATTTTAATTATTCTAGTGGATGTGTAGTAGCACCTCATTGTGGGTTAAATTTGTTTTTCCTAATGATCAATGATGTTTAGCCTGTCATGTGCTTGTGGGCCATTCATACATTTTCTTTTGTAAAATGTATGTTTAAATCTTTTACAGATTTAAAGAATTGAGTTATATTCCTATGAGTTATAAAAGGTTTTTTAAAAAGTATAAATATATATTCTGAATGAAAGTTCTCATATATATAACTCTTTCTATATATATATATACACATATATAAGAGTATATATATGTGTTTTACTAATAAAGTTTTCTAATCTGTGGCTTGCCTTTTAATTCTATTAATAGAAACCCATAGGCTGGGCATGGTGGCTCATGCCTGTAATCCCAGCATTTTGGGAGGCCCAGGCAGGTGGATTACCTGAGGTCAGGAGTTCAAGACCAGTCTGGCCAACATGGTGAAACCCTATCTCTACTAAAAATACAAAAATTAGCCAGGCATGCTGGCACACACCTGTAATCCCAGCTACTCTGGAGGCTGAGGCAGGAGAATTGCTTGAGCCCAGGAGGCGGAGGTTGCAGTGAGCCAAGGTCATGCCACTGTACTCCAGCCTGGCCAACAGAGTAAGACTAAAACAAACAAACAAACAAACAAACAAACAAAACCCATGAGCTAAAGTGCTTAATTTTGGTGAAGTCTAATTTTTCTTTTTTTTTTCTTTTATGGCTAGTGTTTGTTATATGCTGCATAAAAATATTTGCCTAATCCAAGGTCAGAAAAATTTCTCCAATGTTTCCCCTTAGGTGTCCTAGAATTTTATAGTTCTATTTCTTATACTTAGGACTATAATCCATTTTGAATTAATATTTGTATATGGTGTAAGAAATCAGTCAAGGGTTTTAAAAAATATATGGATATATAGTAATTTCATAACTATAAAAAGTAAGAAGTAAAAGACTCTTTTCCCTGTAGAATTAATTTGGTAGCTGTAAAAAAATCAATTGACCATATAAGTGTGAGTCTATTTCTGTACTCTAATGTCTATTTTTATATCATTACTATACTGTCTTGATTAATGTAGGTTTAAGTCTTAAAATCAGCTTATATATGTTTTCTACTTTATTTTTTTTATAAAATTGTCTTGGTTATTCCAGGTATTTGCATTGTCATATATTTTTAGAATTGACTTGCCAGTTTCTCCCAAAAGCCTACGAGAATTTTGATTGCAATTGAATTGCAAGTTGAGCTATTGATCAACTTGGGGAGAATGGCCATCTTAACAGTATTGAATCTTTTAATTAATGAAAATTGAATATCTCCATTTTTAAAGACGTTTTAAATTTTTTTCTTGGCAATCTTTAGTTTTCATTGTACAGGTCTTGCATGTCATTTGTGAGGCATTTTATTTTTTCTTTAAATTGTTTTGCTAAATGTTTTATTGAGGCTATTAGAGATGGAATTTTTTTAAAATTTCAAGTTCAGATTGTTTGCTGCTAGTATATATAAATCTACAACTGATTTCTATATATTGATCTATTATGACCTTGTGAGAAGGAGCCTTGCTCTGTCACCCAGGCTAGAGTGCAGTGGTGCGATCTCAGCTCACTGCAACCTCCGCCTCCCGGGTTCAAGCAATTCTCCTGCCTCAGCCTCCCAAGTAGCTGGGGTTACAGGCACATGACACCATGCCTGGCTAGTTTTTATACTTTTTTAGTAGAGACAGGGTTTCACCATGTTGGCCAGGCTGGTCTCGAACTCCTGACCTTGTGATCTGCCCACCCCCCCCCCCCCCAGCCTCCCAAAGTGCTGGGATTACAGGTGTGAGCCACCGCACCCGGCCTATGTTGTAGATTTCTTAGAATTATCTGCATACAAGAACATGTTGGCAAAAAAAGAACATTTTTCTTTTCTAATTTGCATGTCGTTTGTTTCTTTTCATTGTCTTATTGCATTGGCTTCGATATTTAGTACAAGGTTAAAAAAAGTGAGGTATCCTTATCTTCTTTTTCTCATATTAGGCTAAAAGCACTCCACTATGCTGCTAATTATGATGCTAGCTGCAGGTTTTTCATAAACGCTCTTTATTAGGTTGAGGACATTCCCTTTCATTTTTAGTTTACTAAGACTTTTTATTGTGAATATGTATAATATGTTGCTGGATTCAGTTTGCTGAAATTTTGCTAAGGATATTTGCGTCAATTTTTATGAAGATTTTATCAAGAATATGGGTTGTAGTTTTCCATTATGATGTCTTTGTTGGAGTAATGCTGGCCTAATAAAATGAATTGGAATTTTTCTTTTCTTGTCTATTTCCTGCATTTTTTGGTAGGATTCTTACAATTTCTTTCTTAAATATTTGGTAGAATTAATCAATATAGTCATTTGGGCCTGATGCTTTCTTTAAAGGAGGATTTTTAAAGAGTTATGAATTCAATTTATTTCACTTTATATAAATCCATTTAGAGTTTAAAAACTTTTAAAAAGTGACCATTAGCAGTATGTGACATTCGTTACTAACATTAGTAACATTAGACTTTCAAGAAGTTTGTCTATTTTATTTACATTGTCAGATTGATTCATGCAACATTGTCCGTAACATTCTCATAATCATTTTGATTTTCATAATGTCAGTAGTAATGTTGCCTTTATCATTCCGGATATTGCTAATTTAAATCTCCTTTTTCTGTTCTTTGTCAGTCTATGTAAATGTTTATTCCCTTTATTGATATTTTAAAAGACTCAGCTTTTAGTTTCATTTATTTTTTTCTATTGCTTATCTTTTCTCTATTTCACTAATTTCCATTCGGATCTTTATTATTAACCTCCTTCTACATAATTTATGTTTAATATTGTCTCCTCCTCCTCCTCCTGGTCCTTCTCCTCCTTCTCCTCCTCCTCCTCCTCCTTCTTCTTCTTCTCTGCTTAAGGTAGAAGCTTCGATAATTGACTTGAGGCCTTTCCTCTTTTTTAGTATAAGTGTTTAGTACTATAAAGTTTCCTTTAAGCACTGCTTTAGATATAGCCTACAAATCTTGATATGTTGTGTTTTTATATTGGTTCAGTTTAAAACATTTTCTAAATTTCTCTTTTTTCTTTGACTCACAGGTGATTTAGAGGTGTGTTAATTTATACTCATTTGGGGTTTTCCAGCATTTCTTTCTGTGACTGATTTCTAATGCTATTTTGGTCAGAAAACTTACTCTGTATGATTCCAATGCCTTAAAATTATTGAAACTTATTTATTGCCAGCATGATTTATCCTGGTGAATATCGTATTTGCTCTTGAAAGGAATGTGTCTTCTGTTGTTGGGTAGAGTGTTCTATAGATGTCAAATTGTTTGGTAGGGTTTTTCAATTCTTTTACATTCTTTATATATTCAAGCTGCATGTGGGCTGAGGCATGCATTCAAAGGCACAACATATTTACACATCTCCTCAGGCTTTTCATATTTGCCAGGCTCCCTGAAGGTGTCCTGCATTCATGCTTAGTATAGAAGTTATCTAGGGATGTTTGGGGAATTTGTTACATCAGTACTTCTGTGACTCTTTCACTTCCCACATCTCACAGTTAAATTTTTAGTTGTTCTCTTGCCTGCCCTGAACTGGGTCTACCACCCTGATAAATAAAGATAAAGGTGTTTTTTAGTGTGAGCTGCACTGGATTGAAATGGCCTCTGGCAAGAAGGCTACCCACTCACAGCTGAGTAGCACTTTGTTATGAGTAAACAATTCTGAGGTTGTTCCTTGCCTTTGATTGTTTTCCAGTGCCCATACATTGTTATTTTTAATAATGTTGCCCACTTTAGTACTTGATTCACGTGGAATAGAAAAACCCAATCTTCTTATGCCACCATTACCACAAGTAGATTTCTATTCCTTCCCTTAGAAACATTCTATTTTCTGGGCTGTCATGACAGAATATCTTGTAACTTTTCTGGCTATTCTTTCTTTAAGTTTCCCTTAAATATTAGAATGTTTTAGTATTTAGGATAAGCCACATTTTAAAAGGCATAGGTTTTTTTTTTGTCGTCTTATATCATACATTACTCTTAGGTGATCTCATTTATTCATACAGCTTTAATTGCCACTATATATTACTTCTAAAATTTGTATCTCCAGCCTAGACTTTTTCTTTGAGCTCCAGGCACTTATATTTATCAAATTATCCTTTATCTTTATTTATCTCTTTTATTGGCAACTCAAAAACAAGTCCCAAACAGAATGCAATCTTTTCTCTCTAACCTGCTCTTCCTGTAGGATTTTTTATCTTACTAATAATGTCATCATCCACCAATTTTCCTGGTATGTCCTTAGTATATCCATCCATTCCTCTCCCTACACCTCCGTAAATAACCAATCGTCAAGTACTGCTAACTTCCTCTCCTATCTCTGGAATATGACCACACATGTTCATTGCCACTGTCATCATATGAATCTAAACTATCAACTTGAAGTACTTAAAAGCTTATTTATTTATTTTTGAGACAGGGTCTCACTTTGTTATCCAGGCTGGAGTGCAGTGGAGCAATCACGGCTCACTGCAGCCTCTACCTCCCGGGGCTCAAGGGATCCTCCCACCTCAGCCTCCCAAGTAGCCGGGACTACAAGCATGCACCACCACGCCCAGCTAATTTTTGTATTTTTTGTAGAGACGGGGTTTTGCTATGTTGCCCAGGCTGGTCTTGAACTCCTGGGCTCAAGCAATGTGCCCACCTCAGCTTCCCAAAGTGCTGGAATTAACAGATGTGAGCCACTGTGCCTGGCTACCTCCTTATTTTTTTCTACAGTCTTGTTGGGTCATCTTTTGAAGAGATACATCTTGTTATCACCTTTCCTGAAAACATTTCTATATTTTTCTTGTGCTTTTAGGATGAAAAGTGAACCACTCCACGTGGCCTATAGGACTCTCCATGATCTGGTCTTTCCTGACCACTCCAGGGTCACATCATGCCACCCTCTGCTTCACCCTGGCACAAGGCAAAGGGTCTTCTTTCAGTTCCTCAAATATGGATCTTCCCTAGCTCCCTGAAACAACCCTATTATATGCATTTGAGTACACCGTATCTCTTTACGGCTTCTAGTGCATTTATCATGTATTTATTTGTTTAAGAAGTTCCCTACATAGCTGTTGGCTCTATACCCAAGGTCCTGTGTCTGTTTTGCTCACCAATGTATCAACAATATCTAAGGGAATATCAAGCACAAATTAGCCTCCCAGTAAAATTTGCTTAATGAATAAATGAATGCAAAAGAATACAGTTTTGTACTTACTGGTCTTATTGCATCTGTGTATTATTTCTGATTCACCCTATGTCCAGTAGGATTAGAGAATCATAGGATCACACAATCAGGCCAGTTCAGAGATTATAGAACGAACACAGGGCGAATTCTTTCAGCGTTCCCTCCTCTAAACTGCCACTTGACTGCAGACCGTTCTCTCTATCCTTAACTCAGCTCCTCACCTTTTTCTCATCTCTTTTCTGTATTTTAGGACTATTAGTTGGGGTTGGGTAGGAAGCTATTGGAATAGCGGAAAGGATTTCCATTATGTGGAAACGTCTGCCATGTATTTATTAACAATTTTCCTTAATGTTTTGTTCTGTTTAGACACAATGCAATTTTTATTGTGTTCAACAGGGAAGTTTCTCTCTTCAAGTCTTAATATATGGTATTAGCTACAAAATAGGTAAAGCGTACAGGCTCTGACACCAGCATGTCCCACTTACTAGCTATGTGACCTTTAGCCGGTTTCCAAACCTTTCTATAGTTTTCTCACCTATAAGATGATGTAAATGATCGTACCTACTACATAGAATATGAAGAACTTAGAAGAATGTTTGGCACTGATTAAATACTTAATGATTGTTAGCTTATATCTGATATCTGGATGTCAACTTAGTTTTTCTTGCCATACCTCTCATTTTTCCTCCCAAATTATAGACCTAATTGTTACTTAATTGTACAGAACCAGAAATCTTGGGGGATGGGAATTCATATCTTAATTCCTCAGTTAAATTCTCCATTTCCAGAAAGTAGGAACCATGCCCTATCTCATCAAAAGTATTCAGTAAGTGTTTGTGAATGGGCTTTCTTTAAAGGTATCATCTAATTCTGACTTTCCACTCAAGCTGTCTTGCCCTTAATTAGTTTAAATCAGCGTATTTGTTGTGTCCCATCAGAAACCCCCATTGTTTCTACTAGAGCAGGCTCATGTCAGAGATCATACCTTTTTAATTAGTACTAATTGAGGCAATTAGTTACCATTAGTAAGCAAGGCAAACACAGAATAAGCCAACTTTGGACCTATGGGCTTTTTAAAGTCTGTGGTTGCTGGGACTTGCTGAAAATCCACTTATTAAAACGTTTAATATATCAAGGACCATGAGACTGCTTTGCCCTCAAAGCAAGGCCAAACAAAACAAAACAAAACATAGAAGAAGGACTCATCAGCATCACACAGGGTCACCAGCTGCTGTGGATACCTTTCAATCCGTTGGAGTTAGGAACTAATAGCGCAGCATACAGTTGATAGAGGTGAATGAAAATTAAGTCAATTGATTGAACTATTTTAACAGGTGTCAGGGTGCAAAAAAAACACCAAAAACAAAAATCCTTAACTTGGTGTGCTGACATCTGTAGGACAGTCAGCTGAAGTCAAGTGTGCTTTCTTGGGGGTTGGTCAGTAAGCTGATCCATATTTGAAGGAAATTTTCCATTTCTCTAATTGGTTGATGTCATCCAGACAGTACCTACTTTAGTTTTCTTGCTGCTGCTCACTCTTATTCCCAGCTGGAAGCACTCACATCAGAGGCCGGAAAGAGGAATGCTAGAAAGGCTTTGCTTGGTTTTCTGTGGTGTTCCCACCTTCATTTCTCCATGGGGAGCAATGCTGATTGAGAAAGAAAGGGACAGTGGCATTCGTCAGAATCGCAGCTGCTTTAATCAGTGCCAAGAGCTCATAAGATCCGAGAACAACTCCCCAGCCTTTATTTTTCCTTATGTGGTATTTACCATGTTGTCTTTCTGATATTAGGGGAAAAATCAACCCCTTTTCCCTTTTCTTTCATAATTCAATTCTGAAAAGTTATTTATTTTTATTTTTCAAATTTTCTTGAACTCTATTTGCATGACTAACTTGAGTTGTAGTTTTTAAAAAATTCTGCATCCCCCCTCCCTATGGCCATTCAATTTTCTCTTGCACTCTATTTAAATATATTTCCAGAGAATGTGATAAGGCTGGTCAAAAAGTAGATAACTTGTAATCACTAACTTCAAGTAAATCATGGAAGATTAACTTTGTCTTTCTATAAAAGATGGAATAGTGTGTGAAATGGGCAATTTGAATATTTTCAGGATAGAGGATTCTTGCCTTACTTGATTGCTTTAAACCAATTGGAGAGATAAAAAACACTGAACACTTGCTCTCCCCAGCTCTTCTCCTACCAGGCACTCTCTCTCTTTTATAGAGCTCACATTGACAACATAATGAACGCACCGCACAGCTGTCAAAGGAAATGTTTGAGCACTTGTGAAATTACAGGCTGCTGCAGAAATGACTTAAGCATGCCATTACCTCTTGCTGCATTTAGAACAAATAAGCCACCTGCCCTTTAGGTATTATCTGATCTGTTTGAATAGACTACTATATAGACCCACATAGAAGACTCCAAACATTTTCTTCTACAATTCTGCTCAAAGAACTGCAGCTTCAGCATCTCGCACTCCGTTTTCTCAATGCCTTCCTCTCCAGCTCCAGCCTTTGCATACATTATATAAACAGTCACACGTCTAGTCTCCTGCGCTAAAGGAAGCCTCATTTTTGTGATCACAGCTACCTAGCCTTGGGCTGCTGTACCTGAGAGCTGTGTTCACCTGACTTCAAAACCCTGTGTACTCTCTTACCTCTAAAGCAAATTGTGTGATCATGAATCCACCTCACAACTAAAATCCCTTTTCCAGCAGACATGGATTGAGTGTCAGAAATGTTTTCTGATTGTATCATCAATCTGAAAGGGATAAATTAACTAAGCTATGATGGCTGCCTTACCATAGCTATTATCTCCTCAGCAAGGAAGAGCCTTTTAGCTTCGTGCCCTCAGGAGCACTACCCTTGCCTCTCTATGCTCTTGGACATCACTGTGGTTCAAGGGCATTTAGTGCCTCCTGCACCTGACACATGACACTGAGGAAGTCAAGAAAATTTAGGTAAAGAGCTTATTTGCCAAGGTATGGGCAGGCTATTGACAAACCATCAGGGATAATGTGGTATTATTAGAGGTGGCCACTACTGCGACCCTTAGGCCTGAAGGCGTGAGGGGAGAGAACAGCTCCTGGACTTTAGAGAGAGATGGGGGGTGGGCTTGGAGGGGGCCCACTGACAGGAGCCATGACCTTCTATTGGGACAGGACACAGCCACCCAAGGTAACCTTGCAGGGAGGGAACTGAGGAAATATGTACCTGAGCTTACTCTCCTCCTCCTCCCGGATCTCCTGTGGGTCCTTGCCTTTGGTTGAACATTAGCGGAAACTAGAGGAGGAGAGTTGGTGAGGCAGTCAGTCTTTCAGGAGAGACAGCAGGTACGGGAGACAGAAAAGCGACTCTGCGGGCGTGCAGAAGATGTTCAGCTCACCTTCTGAGGGGAATAAATATCTCATCCTAATGTTTTGTTCCATAGTTACCTCCCCCAATTCCCATTTATCTTTTAAACTGCAGCCAAAGTATTATTCTTAGAGCACAGCTGATTGTATCACATCCTTACTGAAAGACTTTTAATGGCCCATTCCATAGAGCATAAAGTTCAAAATCTTTATCATGGAATTCAAGGCCATGCAAATCTCCTTTCCAATTAACTTGTGAGCCTTTGCCAACAACCTCCCTTCTACCCCAGTCTATTTCCTTAAGCTGATAGTGTCCCAGGCTTTCCCCTCACCCCGTTCCTTTGTTCACTCTCTTCCCCTCATTTAGATTGCTCTTAACTAACTCCTGATAAATTCTTCCTTCCTCTTTAAGGTTGTTCTCAACACATCACGTTTTCATGAAGCTGCCTTCTATCATCCTAGTCAGAAATAATCTTTCCTGCCAATATACTGCTATGACATTTTTATTTGTTATTTTTCCTGAGACATTATAACACATTGTCTTATTATTAATTTTGGACATCTGAACATGCCTGTTGTTAGAATATGAACTGTGTGCATCCCTCGCTTTGTGGCTCTGGGTCTGATTAGAAAGAATTTCCATTCACATGGGTAGAATTTTACTGGATTGGGATATACCAGGAGGGGCCAGAGATGGATAGGATTCATGGGTGAGGACAGGTCGTGTCTGAGTAGGAATATAGATGGAAGGGCAAGAAGTGCTATTATTCTCAGGGGTGAATGAAGATCTGAATACAGGAAAAAAAGCTGAAAAGGAATCAGCTGTTAGAACAGTTCTGGAAACAGTGAGTGTTAGGGTGGAAATAATGTGAATGGGTACAACTCCCTGACCAGGAACTGAGTTGTGAGGTCCAGAGCTATGCTGAAGGGTTCTGATCACCTGCGGCATTGTCTCCCTGGCTGGCTGTAATGAAAGGGGTTGCTGGGTCAGTTCATAACCATGAGTTCTTCGAAGGCAGGGGCCATGTTTTGTTCATCTTTGTAATTATTTGTCTCTCCTCCCCTTTGGTCCCCTTAACGTAGTGTCTGGAACTTAGCAGGTACACTAAATATGTTTGTTGAAATGACTGGAAGTCAGCAGATTTTATTTATATAAAAATATTGTATGGAATGTAAAAAGATATGTGTATACATAATGATGATATTTTAGGAACAGTTAAAAGATAGTCTGCTCTAAATATTTTTAAAAGTGCATCTTTTCTACGTTCAGCATAGGCTGTTGTGCTGACCCCAGATAAACTTGATTTCAATGTCTGCATAACCCGGGTGCATTGGATACCTGACATGTATATCTGAAGATCAGGAGGTACTCTGAAAATAAAGACCAGCAATGAAGAAGCCAACAGGTGTTCACTTAGCCATGATGGACTAGTATTAGGAGGGTTTATTGGAGGCCCATACCCATTTACAAGTATATTGCAGTCCTCCAAGTATACTGATAGATGACGTTTTATTCCAATGAAAAGGGCTTGTTCTGCTAAGTGACTGGCTTTATGTGATCAGCTATTGCTGCATCATATCCCATGCTGAAGGCAATCTGCTTTTGTCAGTTGACATTTTCCAATTATTTCCTAGCACTTTTTTTCCCTCTGTATCTGTTGAGACAAAATCAAAGTTTAAAAAACATGCAGAATTCATAGCTCATAGTAAAAACAGACTGTAATATGCTGAGAACTTGAAGCTTTCATCTAGCCTGTCAGGAAAAACCCTCCAATTCTAATTTGAATTAGGCCAGAGATGCACAGAATAATTTGAGTAGCTGCTGGTTAATGAGCTGTGGTTTACAGGTTGGGCCACTGCATGCTTCCTCTGGAGTACATTGCCGGCTAAGTAATCCACTCTCATTATAACCGCAGCCTAAGGAGCAGCCCATTTGGAGGCAATGTAATGATGTGATGTTATATATCACAAAAATTAGAGGGATAGAACTATAACTGGTAGGTCATCTTGACTCTCCCCTGCCAGGGCAGGCTTGTTCACCACACTGCTTCCTTGAGTGCTTTTGTCCAGTCCTGTTTTAAATGACCCAGGCAATGGAGCTCAATCCTTTTCCCTTGAGAGGCCATTTGGCAGTCTAATAGGCTTTGCTGTTAGCAAACTCTTCCTTGATGTGCTGCCTAAGTTTTCCTTTGCTCAATTTCATCTCATTACTGCTGTTATTCTGCTTTTGTGCACCCCAAACGATCCCTCTTTCTCCTGCATGTTTACTGCTTCCTTCTGCTCATAAACGCTTTCCCATACCTCTTAGTCATTGTCTGGCCACAGAATGTCTGCCACGGTCTTTAAAAACTTTTGCTCTTCCTCCATCCACATTTGTGATTCCCTTCTGAGCTCTTCCCCCTTTGATCAAAACTTTCCTGATTTGTAAGGGCTGGAAGAGCACACCATATTTCATGCTGGATGATGTTTCCTAAGGGCAACATCAGGGCGTTCTTCCCCTACTCTGTGACAGATGCATTTGTGTACACGGCCTAAAATTGCATTGCCTCTCTTTGCTGCCAAAGCACACTGAGAAAGTTGAGGTCTGATGTACTATCAGGGCTCACAATCTGCTGAACAAGAGAGAAGAGTTACTCACCTGGCGCTGGTGATTGTACATGTGCATTTGGCCATTTTTCTTTTCGAAAGACTCTGCTTTAGGCTCTTGGCTTGATTAAAGTTTGATTAAGGACTGAAGAAAAAAAACAAATTGCCCAAATAACAACATTAAACATAATAATACCTTGTTCTTTGGACCAGAGTATTCATTTTTTTTTTACCCTATAATTGCAGTGCGATGACGGTAAAGTGGTAAGCTCAAACTTTACTAGTTCCCCTTCATGAAGGGAATGAAGCACATGATGTTGATAAAGAGATCCTTTTTTTAAAAAAAAATGTTGCAATTTCTCAGTTTGAAGGGGCTGGCAAATGAGAAAAAACAGAAGTGAGAAATTATTAAACTTCTCCTTCCTTTTGCTCTTCAAAGATGAGTTCATGCATATGTATAAAGGCCAGATTTCAGCTTAAAAGATTCTCTAAAATATTTTGCTGAACTTAAATTATATTTAATGGAATGCCAATATATGTTCAATAAAATAATACTTTTTACAACATCATGTGATGGATATTGTGTAGGTATGTTAGTTATCTAAAATACTTCCTCCAGTAATCATAACATAATGAGGCAAAAGCTATTTGTTATTTGTTGCTATTTGTGATTCAAATTTTTTTTTTTTTTGGTCTTGAAATACAGATGGCTTGTTTGCTCAATATGAGTCAACTTACTTTGGGGATTGTATCCTAGATTGCTTCTGTTCCTTCATCATTTGCAGTGACGTGGCTTCATTTGAAATCATGGTCAGGAGAAATACTGGGCTTTCTTCCTGCTTTATCTTAGCTCACCGTGTATCAGGTAGGCAAATATTGTGTTGACACATCCATCCTCTGCAGAGTTATGCTGCAGGAAGAGTTGCTACAACACAGGAAGTATGACTGATGGTGAAGCGGCTGTCCATGTGCCAGCTTAGATTTTTTGACCTGTAGTCAAAACATTTATTGACAATCTGATCAAAGTATGGCTGGGTTATGTTGCTGTGTAGCATTTTGGCCAATCATATGACATTGAGGTACACTGGCGTGGTGCTGGTCACTCTTGAAGTCACATAGGAAGGGTAAGTTTTAAGTTTAACCTACCTACAAGGATATGAAGATTTCTTGTTAGAGATAAGAGCAACACATAAAAATTAGAAAGTTATAAATGTTAGTGAACCTAACATTCTATATATTTCTGCTTCTTTGTGTTAAGTGGTAGAGAAAAGCCTAAAAGTGTAATTCTAAGCGAGGAAAGGAAGAGATCTTGGGATACAGGCCTAAAAGCTATGATGAGCATTTATTGAATGTTTACTACTTTACAGGAAGAGTGCCAAATACTTTAGGTGGATTATCTTTTAGTCTTCTCTAGAAATCCCCAATTTTTTACAGATGGGGCTCAGAGAAGTTAAGTAACTAGACTAAATTAACAGAGGCATTAAATAGTGGAGTTGAGATTCATAATCAGGGCATTTTTAATGTACAGCTTATGCTATTAATTGCTACAAAATAAGTATTTTCTTCTTTATATTTATTTATTTATTTATTTATTTATTTATTTATTTATTTATTTTTGAGATGGAGTCTCGCTCTGTTGCCCAGGCTGGAGTGCAGTGGTGCCATCCATCTCCGCTCACTGCAAGCTCCGCCTCCCAGGTTCACGCCATTCTTCTGCCTCAGCCTCCCGAGTAGCTGGGACTACAGGTGCCTGCCACCACAGCCGGCTAATTTTTTTTTTTTTGTATTTTTAGTAGAGACAGCATTTCACCATGTTAGCCAGGATGGTCTCAATCTCCTGACCTCATGATCCACCCACCTCAGCCTCCCAAAGTGCTGGGATTACAGGTATGAGCCACTGTGCCCAGCCCTAAAATAGGTATTTAAACTGAACATTGTAGTATGAATATTGTTAACGGTTTGAGTGAGGATTTTATTATATTACTTGACATTTGACCAAGAAATCCAGTAACACCTGCTTCTTCCTCAGGCCCACAGCTACTCCTTTTCTCATGAGGTCCCAAGAGAGAGATGTGCACAAGAAATAATGGCAAACTGTACAGAGGCACCAATCTACCAACAATGTAGGGCTTTGCATGTGACCCAGCACAAATGGGGATCTTTTACCATCTGTTTCCAAATAAAAAACCACACCAGGACACAAAGAATATCAGATTACCTAACAACACTTGTGGCAAGAAGAGAAGAAAAGATGGGTAGGTTTATCCAAGGATATAGGCCCTGGCTTAGCTTAATGCTTTGGAGGCACAGGGTATCGACAAGTGCCAGAGAGAGATGCCACACACACATATAAGAACCAGTAATGCTCTGTCAATACAAACATTGATTGTGGTGCAATTATCATCATGGAATCGGATTCCACTCATATTAATATGCAAGAGAGAGAAGGGGCATAGAGACCCTTCTTGTCCCTTTTTATGGCTGCATAGTACTCCATGGTGTATATGTACCACATTTCCTTTTTCCAGTCTATCATCGAAGGGCATTCAGGTTGATTCCCTGTCGTTGCTATTGTGAATAGTGCTGCAATGAATAATACCTGTGTGAATTTAGTCAAGTTACTTAACTTCTCTGAGCCCCGTCTGTAAAATATGGGGGGATTTTTAGAGAAACCTAAAAGATAATCCACCTAAAGAATTTGGCACTGTTCCTGAAAAATAGTAAACATTCAATAAATACTCATCATAGCTTTTAGGCCTATGTCCCAAGATCTCTCCCTTTCCTCACTTACAATTACACTTTTAGGCTTTTCTGTACCATTTAACACAAAGAAGCAAAAATTCATAGATGTTAGGTTTACGACCATTTATAACTTTCTAATTTTTTATTTGTCAGTCTTATCTCTAACAAGAAATTTCTTATTATGCCCTTATTATTACTCATACAATAATAAAGAGGAAGAGAAGCAACCAGGCATCTCATGATGGAGGAGAAGTGTGCTCGAAGACAACATTAGAGCTAGGAGAGTCTTTGGTTTTTGAAGATACAAAGTTGCAAGGGCTGCCGGATCATCGGACTGCAGATGCCATGTAGGTGACTGGATCTACAACGGGGAAGAGACAGGGCTTGAGGTGCAGATTTTTAAGTAATTTGCAGAGAGATGCTAGGAAAGAGCAGAGTACAAATAAATGGAATCTTCAGAGAATTCACCTAAAAGGGGTCATTAGTAGGAAGATACTCCAGCCAAGGGAATACAGGAAAAACAGCAGTAGAAGCGGGTGGGGACAGAGCAGTAACTCCAAAAAGAAGAGGAGTTCAAAAAGCAGACTTAAATTATACAAAAACCATTTAGAGAGGCCCAGAGGGATGTAGACTCTAAAGGGAATTTTAATCAGAAGGGAATTAATAATGACCTTTGAGAAGCAGTTTCAGTAGAATGGAAAGAATGGAAATTCAAATTATAGGAGTCTGGCTGGGGGAAATGATGAAAAACAGAAGGAACAGTTCTAGAATACATATATCACACTTGCAGAAAAAAAGTAAGATAGTGGCAAGAGGTAGGCAAGGCTACAGATTATTATTATTTATATGGAAGACAAGTAGGGAAAAGTAAAATGCTGGCCTGATAATGAGTTGTAGTAATACTTACCACTATCTGATATTTTCTCATTTATTTGCTTGTTGATTGAGCATTCATTGTCTGTCATCTCCAACTGGAATATAAGGTTCAGAAGAATGGGGTCTTGCCTGCCATGTTCAAAGAGGAATACTTTTGCTGGAATATAAGCTCCACTAAACCTTGTCTCAGTTGTTCTTTGCTAGATCGCCAATGCTCAAAACAGTGCCCATCACACTGTGAGTGCTCAATGAATATTTGTTGAGTAAATGAATGAATTAATGAATCAACTCCCAGTTTCTGCAATAGTCCTTAGTATTTAGAGGGTACTTGAGCACTCACATTCATTGTTTTAGAAATTAATTGTGAATATGAGATGAAAAAAGAATAAGAAGTAGTGGTGAGATTCAGCTGAAGCTGAATGGTATATCTTTGCAGTGGGTCAAAGTGGCACGTTTTGTATCTTCTAAGTATTCTCTAGGAATACTTAGCAGCCAATTAATGGATTAATATTATTGATCAGAGGAAAACAGTGTCTTTAGTGACTCCATTGTGTTCCACATGCTGTTCTAAGTGCTTTCTCTGTTTTAACTTATTTAATTCTCATAATAGCTACATGATGAGCACCATTATCATTCTCATTTTACAAGGGAGAAACTGAAGCACAGAGAGGTTTAGCTAAAAAGGATGGTTGAAATGAATCAGGATTGGAAATTACAGCCATTGTGACATATTAGAGGTGAGAATTTCAAATATGGTGTTGAAGACAACATTAAAATAGCTTTCTCTAAAATTCGACAGGGTAAGGAGCCCAGTCCGATAAGGAGATGAGCATTCAGAAGTGAGTGAGAGGGAGTAATGAAATGACTTGGTGCGAGTGATGAAATCAGAATGTCAGAGTCCAAAGAGATCTTAGGGATCTGCTGTAGACTACATCTTTGTATCCCCTCCAAATATACATGTTGAACCCTAATCTTCAATATGATGATGTTACGAGGTAGAGCCTTTGGGAGTTGAGTAATTTCATGAGGGCAGAGAATGGAATTAGTGTCCTTATAAAAGAGGCCCTGAGAGAGCTCCCTCACCCCTTCTGCCATGTGAGGTTACAGGAAGAAGTGGAGGTACCAGGAAGTGGGCCCTTACTAGACATAATATCTGCGGTGTCTTGATCTTGAATTTCCCAACCTACAGAACTGTGAGAAATAACTTTCTGTAGTTTATAAGCCACCTAGCCTATGGTGTTTTGTTATAGCCGCCCAAACAGTCTAAAACAAGATCCTTTAGCAGAATTCCCTTACCTTACAAAAACACTTTACCTCTAACTGAGATTTTGCATTTTCTTCAATTAACAACGTAGCCCACAAATCACAGTATTATAACAGTACCTGCAATTTGGTCACCTATAGAAATGACAGATATTTCCAGATATTTATGATTGTAGCAGTTATCTCGTGGTATCATTTATAATAGTCTCCAATTCAAAATTACAGTGTTTATTACAACTTCCAGTAGATCATTTTATTGATTGTGTTAATAAAGAAACATAGATATTAGTATATGCTACAATTTTGTTTTTTAAATATTTGACAACTGTGCAAACTGCATAAAAATAATAATTTTTTCTATAATCCTTTTATTTTATTTTATACATTTAAAATCATTCTTCTGAGAAGGGTTTCACAGGCTTCACCAGACTGCCAAAGGGGTCTATGCCCCAAATGATTACCCCTAGAAAGAGAGGCTTACAGAGCTTGTGGGACCCAAGCTTGTGGATGGCTAATGAGTGTCAGCACTGAAGCCAGACCCATATTTTCTAAGTTCTGATTGACAGAGTCTCTCACCACTACTAGGAGGATGCATTTGGTATGGAGAGAGTGAGAAGTTCTGCTTGTAGAAATGGACGAGTAACAAGGGCAAGTGGGATATGAATGGTTTGAGCTGGGTGGTTGGGATCCCTGTTAATGTCTTCTCCTTCTCAAACTCTCTCACACACATGTTGAGAAAGTAAATCTTTCAGTCTAGTGTGGTGAAGAGTGTTTTGTGAGCAGCTTCTATCTTAGAAAGTTGTACCCAATATTTGATGAGCTTTTTATTCCATTATCAAATCCCAACTTATCTGCTCATTCTCACCCGGGGTTGGGTCAGGACCAATCTCTCTTGGATTCTGACATTATCCTTCTATTGTATTATGCTTTCAGAAGTCTGCAGAGCTTTTCCAGGAATGCTTTAAGATCACAACTTTCCCACCTTGGACACTGCCTCCATGGGAAGCTTCCCAATCTTCTCTGTCCCTGTTAAGAAGAAGGGGCCTGGATACTCTGTGGAGAGGGATTGAGTGATAGGAAGCAAGGAAATTCTAGAAAGAGAGAGAATGAGGGCAAGGCTGATTGGGGACATTGGATTGCATGTAAAAGGAATTCAGTAGGACACAACCAGAGAATCTAGCTGAAGAGGTGTAGGTAAGTATTAGGTTTAGGAGGTAGTGGCATGGTTGAGAGATTTGCTCAGCAAAGTTTTTGTGAAAAATGGTGGAGGAGCACTTCAGTGAACAGGCGAGCATGATGGATAGATCAGAAACATTGCAAGAAAGAAGGAGAAAGGACCTAACCTTGACTGGGTACCTACCATGTGCTGAACATTGGTAGACAACATACTATCTCATTGAATCTTTAGCAGCTGTGTGAGACAGTTGTGATGCCCATATTACAACATGAGGAAAATTAAACTCATAAAATCAAATGACTGACTTGCTAGTGTTACCATGTAGAAATTGGAATTTCAAGTCAAGCTTAACTTATTCCAAGCCCCTTGTATTTTTCTCAGTTTCATGATGCTTTCCAAAGAATAAGGAGGCATTTGGAGGGCTAGGAAATAGGACAAAGCAATAGGAGATGCAAAGGGGTATACATGGATATATGTTCCTCATCAATACAGTCTGAGAATGAGGCAGAGAGAGACACTGAGGGTTTTACTTTTCCTCTCAAGTATCTGCTATTGACTTTCACTACTCCCCTCCTCTATATGAGATATGGGTTTCTTTTGGAATGAAAATGACTATATTCCTGTATTATAGTAACACAATATAACAGCCCTCTAAATAGGATGCTAATAAAATAACAATACATTGCAAACATCTTTGCTTCTGGAGATTTTTATTGTGGTATCCTGCTAGGAGTGAACTCTGTTTGAACTGCAATGAGTAAACTATTGGGGAAACACATTTTTTTTCTTTTTGGATATAGCACACAAGAATAAACTCTTCTCACTGCCAACTTGTAGTATCACATAAACCTGAGGAGAGATTTTCTTGTTGCTGGGGATGATATGTAGCCTTCAGACAAGCAGAGGCCAAAAGAGGATGGTATCTTTCCATGGAAACAGAGGACACTGGCTTGACATACATACTTGAAAAGTATGAAACGTCTCATAATTCTGGAGAGAAAATATTCTTTTGCTATTTCTAAAAAAGCAAAACATTTTAAAAGTTTTCTTTCAAGTTTTTTCTCATCTGATTAACTTTCTGGAAAAATAGAATATTTTATTTTCCAAGTTAGATTCTAATATTTCTGTGCCATACTCTGTATCAGGAAAGTAAATTTACTCAATAAAAATAAAAAAGCCATTTTTTAAATATTTTACCTTTCTTTGTAACAACCAGTCATAAGGTTAAGAAAATATAAGTAAACATTTTGAGAATGAGAAATGTGTGCAATAAGTCACATTAGTGAGTTCAGTTTGTCAGAAATGCTTATTGTAATCTCATCTTCATTCAGTAAGCACAGGAAATACAATCAGTAGGGTAAAACTTTAGCCATGTAAAGGTTTTTCTGCACGTCTGTGAAAAGAGAACCAACAATTTAACACTAAGTGATCTTTTAAAGCTTGTGTGTGTGTGTGTGACCTTTCTTTCCCTCAAACACCTCAAAGCATGTTTTTTCCCCCCTATTAGGCACCCTGGACAAATGTAAATATCTCCAGGATTACAGTAAAACAGATTTTCTGTATTTATTTCTTCTTGGATGAACATTTGGCTCTACTCTTCATAAATCTTTCTTGTTTGTTTGTTTGTTTATAGGTGTCAAATAACTAAAGGTATGGAAAAACAATATTTTTTACTCTTTGCAATTTTTCTAGGGTGTCAGGTTTGCTGAGAGTCCTGGCTTATTAATGTACCTGACTTTTCCAGCATTTATCACAAATGTAAATGAACAGTCTGTGGTGTAGCCTGTTTTCAGGATTGCTCTGATGATCATGTTGCTATGGTGATAACAGAGCATACAGGTTCATGAGACAGTATTAGTAATGCAGCAGCTTGAAACTTAATCAGCGCGCTGCGACTTCTCCCCCATATTTCAATACCACTTCGGCAAATTGAATTCCAGGCAGTTGTCAGTCCGATGTATTCCCCGTGGTTTCTCCTCTGCAAAATTGCCTCTTTATTCTATACACTGATGATCATGGAGTAATTGAAATCTGCAGCTGTTTGTCATGCTATTTATACAACTCTGTCTTGTAGCCAGCAACCTTTTTATGGCACGCACTGCAGGTAACAATTAGATCTAGAAACCTTTTTTTGGTTGAACAAGTGAATGATTGTTTTTCCCAAAATACTCCTGATTTTGGGTACTTTATGTGATACCTTGTTTTGTGGGGGAAAGTTCAGCCAAGGTTTAATCACAGTCCATTATGGCAGCATGACGGGGGCTTTGCATTCTTTGCTTCCAATGATTGTGAGACAACTGGAGTGTTGGGTAAAAGGGCTCACTCCTCAGGGAAGGTGCCCCCCGATTCCCCAACAATCTGCTCTCCAGCTGTGTCAAAAACAGGACTCTCCAGCTTCTAGTGGCCCTGAAACATTTGCAACAATAGATGTGAAAACACAATTCAGTGCGGAAAAGAAAGCAATGATCTGGGGCACGTGGCATGGCTTGGGCATGGAATAATGCTTTCTCTTTAGGCTGCTTTGCAAGTAGGGAACTTAAGCCCTTTTCCTCTTTCCCAGTGAACTGATCCATTATCAAGTCTCCTATTGCCCTTTTTGGGTTGTTTTGAGGGTCACTACATGATTTTTTTTTCTGAACGTGAAATCCAAGGGGACATAAACTGAGCTTTATTTGAAGCCCAGCAGGTAGAAAATTTCCCTTCTCTTATGTTCCCTGTAATATGAGCTGAAATAAATGGGAAGCTATTGCCTTTCTCCTCCCAGCTGAAGGTAGATGATTCCACTTGATGTGTTCCCTCTGCTAAAAAGAGAAAGGGAGAGAGAGAGGGAGAGAGAATGATCGTATGAGATGGCCACGGAGGATTTCCTGTTTCTGTAAAATAAAATGAAATTACTGGACAAGAGCCGGGCCTTTAGAGATTCAGGAGGTAGTTGGTCTGTCTCCTCTCTCCAGGGCCCATCAATAGTTTTCTCTCCTGCATTCTGTCCTTTTCTGACCATTGACTGAAGACCACAGTTACCTGCTTTCCAGTTAGGCCGCTCCCTCCTGTTGTGTGTCTTATCTTTTCTTCCCTTCTGCCCCCTCACTCTCTCCTGGGTCTTGCTGTTGTGGTATTCAGGCACTGACATTGTCTAGGCATTCTATGTGTGTTTTAAAAGTTATTGGAGGTCAATCTGTGAAGAGTCTTTTGTTGTTGTTGTCGTTGTGGAATGCCAGCTGGGTATAGAAAAAAAGAGAAAGTTGCTGGAGGGATCTTAATGGAATAATCAGGAACAAACATGAGTTGCATCTCTATACTGCATAGCCAATGCAAATATGAGAGAATTTTTGCACTGTGTTTTGAAATACTGTTTTTTTAAAAGAAAATTTTTGGGAAAGTTGTTCAGCAACTTGACAGTGTTCTAACTTAGCTAGCTATTGCTTTCTGGCCAGTATGTTGCAGTGTGATATCGATCTCTTCACAACAGATGGCTTTATATGTGCATAGAAGAGCTGATGGCAAAGCTGAAACTTAGTGGATATTGGTGAATTGATGACAGCTGATGATCTCAGAAATATCTCTTTAGCATCACTTAGATTTATCCTTTCTTTATCTTCCTCAAGGCTTCATAAGTATTCCCCCTTCTCAATCCCTTTCATAAATACTTAATTTAAATGCCAATAAAATTTCAAGGGCAGAGGTATAATCAGGACAGAGGGCACCAACATTTAGAGAATACCGAAATTTAAAATAATCTTTAAAAAAGATTGCTACATTTACATGTTTACAGCATACGCATGCCGTCAGCTTGCAGGAACAACTGATCTTAATACCTACTTAGCAAGAATGTTTGGTTAAAACAGGAGGCTACCAGATGGCTCAGCATTGTTAATAGCGCCCATCTGAGAGCAGCATCATGAATTACAAAGTTGAGGGCAAAATTTAAGACTCCAGGTGGCAAAATGAAAACAAAAAAATTGCTTAAATTTTTTATTTTTAAAAGGAAAAGAAATGAATGCTGCATTGCAAAGTGGAAATACTCTTTTGTAATATGCTAGTTGTTAGTAAGTTATATAGAATTTGCTGTGACTTGATTTGCTGCAAGTTAACCCAAGTTGCTTAGAATTGTTGTGCCATGGGTTCTTGTATTTTTTTTCTTTTTTGGTGCTAGAATTATCTGTTATGACTCAAAGTGCACGCTGATGATAGTAGGGAGTCTGTAGGCTCATCTTGCGCTCGTGGGGTTTTGTTTTTGAGGACTCCAGTAACCCTTTTGACATCACAGAAGGGGTCTGTCGAATTCTACCTTGTGGTGGTTTTCCAGTTTTGAGCCACAGTAAACCGGTATATCTCAAGTCCAGAATAGGTGCTTTGCAGAAGGAAGTTGCATCTCTCAAACACATAGCCTAGGAATTAGACCTTAGTCTTGAGATATAGGAAGATCCAAGTATTTTTACCTTTCTTGATCTCCCTACGTGTGTCTCTGTGTGTATTTTTCCCAGGTAAGTTAGGAACAATGTAATCACTAGGGAAAGTGCTATGATTCTGTGTTTATAGTAGTACTGCAAAGAAAAGTTATACATACCGTTCACTCAGGTTGTATAAAATAGACTAACAATCCAAATCCATACTTTTGGAACATTTGGTTTCACATTTGAAGCCCAGGTACAGTATGTGGCCTTGCATGGCACTGACTCTGTGTACTTATTCATTCATTTATTAATCGAACACATTTATTGTACTGAATACCAAGAACTTGTGAGTACAGTCAAGAGCAAAATAGACAAAAATCCCTGTCCTCATGGAGCATATAGTTTATTTAAAGGAGACAGACAAAGAGCAGGATAATTAAATAAATTATACAGCATGTTACATAATGACAAGTGCTAAGGAGAAAAAGCAGGGATGGAGTATAGTGCTATGGTGGAGGCGAGCTGCAATTTTAAGTGGGTGATTAGAGAGGGCTACACTGAGCAGGCAGCACCTGAGCAAAGATCTGAAGAAGGCAAGCCATAGAACTATTGGAGAGAAGAGAAGAACTATTGGGTGAAGGCTCTGAGGGAAGAGAGTGCCTGGCACACAGAAGAGACCAGTGCAGCTGGTGTGTGATATGTGAGTGTGAGGTCAGTGGGGAGAAGTGAGCTGACTATGGGGCGAGGTGGTGGAGGGCTTCCTGTAGGACATCAGCTTCTACTGTGACTCAGATGGAAAGCAACTGGAAGAAAGGAGGTGCATTTCCTGAGATAGGGGAGACTGCAGGAGAAGCAGATTTGGGGTAGAGTATGGTGACTAGGAGCCTGGATTTGGCCATGTTGTTTGAGGTACCTGTTAGACCTCTAAGTAGAGGTGCCAAATAGGCAGTTAGATAAACAAATCTGGAGTTCAGGAAGAGACCTGGGTTAGAGACGCAAATGGGAGTCATTGGTGAAAATGGTGTTTACAGTCGTGAGGCTGGATAATATTCACAAGGCAGCATGAAAGTCCATTGGGAGTTGGTATTGATGAGTTTAAGTGAGACCAATAGCGTGTCTGGGTGTTTTCCTCCAGCCCTGTTCTCCTGCTGGTATATGTGCCTAGGGTACAGATTTGGATATAATCAGGGTTGTGTTTTTCCAAAACAGTACGACAAAGCAAAAGGGGGAAAGTGAGTAGAGGGTGTGCAAGGAAGTGATTACAATAAGGAATCATGGAGTTTACCTGGTATGGAGGGTAATGAGCACATAAACGGATGGGTTCACAAAAAAGTGGTAGGATCAGTGGATTATATGTCCTGAGGAGCTTCAGGGTTCTTCAATCAAAACCATAGAAGAGTTGGAGTTCATTGCAATGATAGAGTTTATGGCTATTGTCTGATGGTGGGCTATACCCATTTTAACTGCTGTAAAGTCAGTTTAATAGATCAAGGTCAGCATCATTAAATGATATAGGAAGGAATGAAAAATATGAGAATATATTATAAGTTAAAAAGACAAGCATTGCTTTTTGAAATGTTTGTTTCAATTATATATATTTATATAAATTATGTTCATGTAGAGGTCTATTTGCATTGGGTCATAGTGTAAAGTATATTTCTTAATTTAGAACAAGGTCAAAAAGTTTGTAAAACACTGTAGGGTTGGTTCATGACAATGCATAGCTGAGGATAAGGTTATTGGAAGTGTCTGTGTATTCCGAACAATCTAGCAAAGAACCAGCCAGTTCCTGAGCCAACATCCTGTGTGGAGTGAAATTGATACCCCAGCATCTCCAAACCAAACAATCATACACTTATAAAAGACTGTGTTGCTAGACTTGCATGTTTCCTTCAAAACTAGACTAAATACCTTTAAAGCTATTCTCTCTCTATCCTTTGAAAATTAATAAAAGCTATAATTGTTTATTTTTCCTTTTATATCCAGTGGAGAAATATGTATTTGGTCTTACCAGATTTCCTTCAGGCCGAACCAAAACTTTCCCAATTGCACTTTTATTTTCATGGACAAGGTAACATTATTTAGAAAATATATGATTTTTCTTAGGTTAAAAATAAAGTACTCCTAGACACCTCAATTTCATGGCAAAACTTTTTTTTAAACTTTTATTTTAAGTGCAGGGATACAAGTACAGGTTTGTTACCTAGGTCAACTTGCATCATGGGGGTTTGTTGTACAGATTATTTCATCATCCAGGTATTAAGCCTAGTTCCCATTAGTTGTTTTTCTCAATCTTCTCCCTCCTCCCACCTTCCACTCTCTGAAAGGCCCCAATGTGTGTTGCTCCCCTCTGTGTGTCCATGTGTCCATGTGTTCTCATCATCCAGCTCCCATTTATAAGTGAGAACATGTGGTATCTGGTTTTCTATTCTTGTCTTAGTTTGATAAGGATAATGGCCTCTAGCCCTCCATTCATGTCCCTGCAAAGAACATGATCTCATTCTTTTTTACGGCTGCATAATATTTCATGGCAAAACTTAAGGTGTATTAAAAACAATACAACTTCTCTGAATAGGTAAATCTTACTTAAACAGATTATGTTCTAAAAATTCATTTTATGAAAAGTATTTGGAATTTAAAACCATGTCCTCATTAAGAGTGTTATAATTTGATGGTGGGCTTGTCATGAAAGTCTTTGGAATCCAGTGTACCTGAAATATGAATAAAATACATTGCCTGGATCCATAACCCTCATAATTACTTCTGAGCCCCATAGACCCCTGGGAAGTGGAAGTGGTTGTTACTAGGGTTGATTTGGGGACATGGCGAGGCTAGTAGGTGGGCAGGTTTATTAGTTTCCTAGGGCTGCCATACCAAATAGCACAAACTGTGAGGGCTTAACACAACAGAAATGTATTTTCTCATGGTTCTGGAAACTAGATGTTCAAAATCAAAGTGTCAGCAGGGCCATGTGGGCTCCCTCTGAGGTTCTGGGTAGAATCCTACCTTGCCTCTTCCTGCCTTCTGGTGGTGGCCATCAATCCTTGGCATTCCTTGGCTGGCAGCTTCATCACTCACCTTCTACCTCTGTCATCACTTGACCTTTTCCCCCATGTGCTGCATCTTAGAAGGATGTTAGCCATACTGGGTTAAGGACCTCTCTTACTACAGTATCATCTAATCTTAACAAATTATATCTGCAATGACCCTATTTCCAAATATGGTGACATTCTCAAATACTGAGGGTTAGGACTTCGACATATCTTTTTGGGAAACACAATTCAACCCATAACAGTGAGCAACTGGGAAGCTGCAGAAGGGCAGAAATCTATAGAGTTCTGGGTTCTCCAATGGCTGCTGTGTTACTGGCAAGAGCTTAGAGACCCCCCGTTGTTTGGATGTGGGGATAAGGATTACTCATAAGTCAACTAATTCATGAATGCTTCTATTTTACAGGTCACAGTTACTTTGAGTGGAAATAAACAAATAAGAAAATTCTATATTTAAAGAAAATTGCCTTCACAATCAACAACATTTTTATTTGAACCATGTCCTAAAAGCTTTCATTCCTCCTCTGAGATTCTAACAATATCTCCATCAGTGTGAACTACAATATTAGGAAAAGAAGAGGATAACTTCAGGGGAGAATTAGGCAGAAAGCAAGGTGTGTTATGTAACACCTGGGAGGCTAAAGAAAGAGGCTATTGACTGTGAGCCAAATTCAACTCTCAGCACATTGCTCCTAGGCAATGGACAGGAGTGTATGAGTGGCTGAGAGCAGGGCTGAGCTTCGAAGCAAATTACTTTTTCTACAAATGCTCTTTTATTTCTAAGCTCACTTCAGTGCAGATGTGTCTCCTTCATAAGTGAATCTTAAGGATCAATTTATAATCTTGGATCCACACTGTGGATATTGTGCTAGTCTTTGTCAACAGTAAATTTTAAGACAAGAAAGTTCAGAGAAATAGGGGATTAATATTAAGGCGGCTTTTATTCTTCATTAGTTTCTTACAGAAATATTATTTCATGTAAAAGGAATCTTGGTGTCCTAGTTTATCTTTTTCTCATCGTTTAACAGGTATAATATTAAATAGAATTAAAATCAGGAGTAGTATCACATGCTTATATCACCTTGTTATATTTTAGCAAGCTTTTGAAAAAGTCGAGCATGCACAGAGAAAAACTTAAAAGAGTAATAAAGGTATGTGCTGAACAGTCAATCTCCTTCTCACCCAAACATCACATATTCTTGTTTTATCCTTGTAAGAAATATGAAAAGTTATTCCTTTTAATGTTGCTTTCATTTTGAAGTTGTCACTCCTGCTTCCTAGCTGGTAGGACTGGTGTGGCAAATTGCTTTTCCAGAAGAAGAAAATGGTTTACTGATCTTTTTGGTCATCAAGATCAGGAGTTTAAAAGATGGTGGTCAGGGTGAGGAGTGGAATCCATGCAACCAGGAGAAAACCACGAACTGTGACTTTCTCACCTGGGTCATCTGCATGTTGTACCCAGAAGTCGGGAGAAACGACATTCAGGAAGATATGCACACATTAAAATTGGAATGGGAGAATTCTCCAGAATATGAAATTTCTCTTCTCATTGGAAGAAAAGGAAGAATGGGCCTGAAAACTGTCCTTGTTTGGATGGAAACTTAAACAGCCTGTGTTGCAAATAGTCCTCATTAAAATGCCCCCTGTGTGCTTTAGTTCTCCTGAAAAAACTACCAACACCAAGGTAGGGTCAAACCGGCTCAATAAATTTTAAATGATATTAATTATTCCCATGCAACTCCATAACTCAGTTTCTGGCTTAAAACCGTGAAACTTGCTAAGGTCTTTTTTGCTCCTGCAGCGTGGACCCTAGTGAAAAGGCATTATAAAAGGTTATTGCAGTCAGGTCTGTGAAAGACCTGTCGATTGAGAGGGAAGAAAATGCAAGTAGACATTATAAAAGATTACTTTCTGTGCTGCTAATGATCACTTTTGGTTTCAGTTTTCCTGAATGTTCAGGAAAGAAAGAGCTCACAGGAAAGGAATTTATTGCAAAAGAATAATTGCCCAATACATTACATGGCACGGTAGGGTTATAATGAGCATGAGGAAGGGCAATATCTAACCAACCCTTGGAGTTACAGTAATAGTTTGATTCAACTTCCTTATACAGACTGCTGAGCAACCAGAGAGCCAGAGAGGTTTTTTCTTTTCTTTTTTTTTCTCCCCGAAGAATTGGACTGCAACTGTTTTGAAACTTTCTTGGGGGAAATGCAATTATTGACAAGATTTAATAAAGCCAAGACAACTGAATGTGATGAGATGAACCCCTATTCTTTTGTTCTTTCTATGCAATGTAAGAAAATAGCAAGAAAACGATTACATTATAACTAAATGAATTAAACAAAGCTCCGAAACATAAATTAGAATTTAACTATGCCATTAAAAACTAATTTAATTTGCAAGGCATCATTACTAGGTAATAAAGACCCATTGCAAAATGTACAGCAATATCTTGTGAACATGTAAAAAAAAAGTGATAAATCTCATTGAGCAGATGAGTTTCTGTTGCATTAGCAGATACAAATGCTGAATAGATGTTTCAGTATATAATGAAAGCTAGCAAGTAATGGAACGATTGGTTTCGTTAATTTTTTTTTTTTTGCCGTAAATGGTTTTGTAGTTAAGGAAAGGCCTCAGGGAGAGTTGGAGAAGCACAAATTTGGTGCATGGACTTGGTGCCATAAAATCTGCTCTCAAACCAAGACAAAGAGAAGACATTTAAATATTTCGTTTGACAACATATGAAATATATTGTAGCCTACTTCATTCAAGTGCAAACAATATCTTGTTTCAGCTAATTGAAAATCTGATGGAAAATACAGTCTTTTCCCTAAAGTGTATCTTATTCAATTGTGTTGGAAATAACAAGGTATATATAACAAATTCAAGAGATGTGAATAAAGAATTTCTTCAGTTCTGGGGTTACCAGTTTAAAACTTACTAAAAAAAAAAAGCATTAAGTTTTTTATCCGATCAGAATAAGATGAAATAAAGTTTCAGAAAATTCATTTCATCGGAAATGAGTTTTAAATGTATACTTTCTAATAAAACAGCTAACGATAAGCATTTCCGCTTCTGTCTGTACTATTTTGCCTGAGCCTGCAGGTAGAATCCAGTATCATTTTACTGACAGCCATCATCGAGTACTGCCAGGAGATGGCAGTAAAACTCCGCTTTTCTAATCCAGCCTACGCTAGCGTCTAAAATTATTGTAACTTTTTTTTTAATGGGATCACAGCATTAATATAAGGTGGAGATGAAAACTTATGTATTCCCCCGGTTGTGTTATTTCCTCTGAGGTTGTGCATTGACTTTGTGTTGCGATTGGACTTTGGCTCATCCACGTAATTATGCTCCCAAATAGAGTTTCACAAAAGGTCACGTGCTACATTATTGTAGGAATGATTTTATTAAATTGCTTAGTGAGTTGATGCAGTTAGACGTGTTCATTTATGTTTTACATTCCGTCATGAAATCTTAATGTTAAAAAAGTTAACACTTTGTTTAAATGTCATCTCATCAATGCAGCATTCCGCAAATTACCCCTCTGAGCTAACACCCGTCTTCCATGCCGCATTTACCCATTTACAAACCTAGAGACTAGAGCTTCCTGCTTCACCTTGAGATTTTCTGTTTATTTATCTGCTGTCTCATTCATTTGTAAGCTTCTCAAAGGCAGGTGTTACATTTTGGGTCTGAATCGCTGGTAGTTCTCCACCCAAATGTCACTTTGTAGTACTCAAAAGAATGTGTTGAACTAACTCAAGTCTCATCTGAAGGCTCAGAGGAAGTGTGTTTTTAATATATTGCTCTATTTTATAGAGCAGCGAAGTGGTGTATTTAAGGACAAGTCAGGGAATCTTGGCTTACAAAATGAAGCCAAAAACTCCTAACTTTAATTTTGCTGAGCACACAAACAAGAAACTTTACTGACTGTGGTAATTAATAGAAAATGATATATTGAGTTGCATTGCCCAGCTCTGAAATGGGGCCACTTTCTAACATATAACTTTCTTACAGTTCATTACCAAGAATGAAAAATTTTAAATCTAATGAAATGGCAGGGGAGACAGAATGTCAATACTAAGGTGAAATGAACCTTTAAATGCAGAATTATCAATAAATGTATTATTGATTTTGGGAGAGTAGTCATAGATACAGTCATTTATTTGTGAAGCCACTTACTTTTTGTAAATGATTTATTGCAGATGAAGTGAGGAAAGACTATATTTTATTTCAAAATTATGGATGCAAAGAGATGAAATAATTATCCAAATGATCTTTACGCAGACTACATTTCCTTTATTTATATTACTTTTAATGTCGTAGCATTCTTTAATATATTATGCCCTAAATGACTCCTAAAAGTTCCTAAGTTAAAAGGCTTCGTCTCTAAACTATTATTAATAAGGAAACATTTACTGAGCCCCCGGGACTTTCAGATGGAGAACATTTCTCCCACCACTCAAGTTTACTTGTCTTTACAACTAGATTTACTGGCTGCACACAGTAAAGAGGAATGTCTGTGCTCTGCCTCCCCCATTCCTCATTGCAGTAGACTCTTGCTACTACTAGTTCTAGGATCTTCTTGTCTTCCGAAGAGATGGATTCTTCCTGGCACAAGATTTTCCTGTCAGCACTGGGAAGACAGTGTGGAGTGCAGGGCCCTGGGTGCCATGCGCCCTGCTGGCGGCTCTGATCGCTTATTACTTATGGGGTGCTCTCATTCACACACTCCTAGGTTTAGGCTTGGCAGGTCTTGTTGTGCCATAATTCATTTAAATGTAATTCATAAGAGGAAAGGAGAAGGCAGCTGAATGTGAAGCACAGACACAGCCCTTCTGCATTTGAAAGTGTTGTGCAATTTATTCTCAGTGATGTGGATTCACACAGGCCCAGTGAACAGTTAAAGCTTTGTAAAACCCTCTATTAAAGAGAGGAAAGCTGAGGTACCAAAGGAGTTTTATATATCAGTGATTTCCTTGTGGTCGAGATAACAAATGAGGATGATAATTACCTACTTATCTATGTTTGTTTTCTAAGGACCAAATAAAACAAAAGAAAATAAAAAATGCTTTTGAATATGTGTAACAATTATAGTTGTCATTATTATCGACGGTGAGTACAGGCTTTGGGAGTGGGTAGGCAAATTCCATATCATAAGTCTCATAATTTGAAGAACAGTGATTCTGGTCAGTTGCAACTCACGTCATTATGACACCAATTGGGCAATATTCTGTGACTCCTCTGCCTTTTACAGAGAAACAAACTAGACCACACCTCAGTAAAAACCAAATCGATAGGACCATTTTCACAGATCCACTTCTACTACTGCTGTTCTTCTGTGTTTAGAAGATAGTGGGTGGCTTGCGGGCAGGGGTCAGGTAGACTATGTTGGAGACAACTTTCTCTTGTTTTGGTATTCTCAGTGGCAAAGGTCATTGTCCACAGGGAGTTGTTGTTAATCCAGAGGCACCTGCTTATTTTTTTTTCACCACATTAATTTACATGAAAGAAGCCAACTTGGCATTCATTCGTTCCTAATAGGGGAACTCTGCCTTCAGGCAGTGGCATTTAGCAGCAGGTTCTGCTATTTCTTCATCCTGGTGGTACATGGGTATTGCTCCTCACAGAGTTAAACTGTAGTAGAGAAACATGAAAAGAAAGCTCAATGATGCTGTCTTGTATGGAACATAATACACTGTTATAACAAACAGAGCTTGATAAAATACCAGCAGCAGGGAGCACAGTTATTTATTGCTTCAAGAGAAAATCAAGCAAAATAGCTACAAATTGCCTAAAGTACATTCCTCCCATCTTTCTTGAGTTTCAGTCTCTTTGGCTATAAAACAGAAAAGGCCTTTGTTATTTCCCAAGCCAAGATTAGCCTCCCTTAGTGTGCAGTGCCTGCTTTGGCTTCGTGTGAAGGAATGAGCTTAAATCTGACCCAGAGAGCAATTACCTTAGAATGATTACAAAACACGTGCAAAAAGCTGAGTGTGCACCTGCTGGTAGACATACATCTGAGGCTATGGCTTGAGAACAAGCTCATTAGAGTGGCATCTCGCATTCTTGTTTCTACAGTGCCTTGAGGCATCAGCCAAGATGCTGAGGTTGCCTTCTCTTATTTCATAGAAAATATGGAAAAGTTAGATGAGTCGAGTGTCAAATTAAGAGAAAAAAAAACCTTTAGGAGAAGTGCCAGAGGAAAACCTCCCTGTTCTAAAACACTGCTCACTATTTCTGATCCACACTGCATTACTATGTCATGTACAAGACAGTGAAAGTCTTACATACAGACATACCCCCGGAAGCGAGCTATGAACCCCACAGGTCTTCTAAAAATACTCAGTGCCTCATCAACATGGCAGGCTTCAAAGAGCTCCTGTTCCTAAGGGGAAGGTTGCCTCTTTTAGGCTGCAGGTGTGGCCATGACGTTGTGAGAGTGTGTGGAAATGCCATGTTCCATGACCGCAGCACATGACCATGGCTTGTCATTGAAACAACATGTCTTTGGTAGTACATTCTGCAATCTTTACTCTGTTCTTCTCAGAAAACTATAAGGTCAGTTAGAATATAATTATCGAAAGTAGAGAATAAAGGGGAACCTAGTTAATGATAAGGACTGGTAATATATGGGGACTAGTAAAATAATTGAACATAAAGTCTATATGCCTAATAGGCTTCTGGCATAACATCAGTGAGCAGAGCATGCTGCTAATATTACACATTTGCAGTTAATCTTCAAATAAATGTTAAAAAGTTAAGTCCAGTTTAGAGATCAGCTGCTATACAATATATTGGGTTAGAACCATGACCTAGACAAGCATCTGGGCAAATCATTGAGGTGCAAATATTTAGCCTGGTGTGGTGGCACATGCCTGTAATCCCAGCTACTCAGGAGGCTGAGGCAGGAGAATCGCTTGAACCCAGAAGATGGAGGTTGCAGTGAGCGGAGATCACACCATTGCACTCCAGCCTGGGCAACAAAAGTGAAACTCCATCTCAAAAAAAAAAAGTATATCAAAGTATTGGTTTGTTTAGCTTAAATGGAAACAGTATAAAATATTTTACAGAAACCAATAACTAAGATGCGGTAATAATCTTTATCAAAACATTGAGGATGACTGCTTAAAATAACACAGTTCGTAAATAGCAGAGGAGTTAAAGCAAATGCAGAAATTGGGTATTACTCAGCTAAAGCCACTTTTGGTTCTTCTGAACAACATTGTTTCACAAGAATTAACTGGTTGGATATCTCATCAATCTAGATAAATATTATAGTTTGATATCGGGAATACAGTATCTTTTATAGTGTTTATGTCCTTCAATTCTAGATGATTGATGTGTGTTTGCTTAGTAGAGTCCATTCTGTTATTATGTAAATCACCCACAAATTATTATTTCATCAATTCCATGATGATTGATTGAACGTATGCTTGGGATTGCTGGTGTTACAAAAATGTTTAGGACTTGGTCCTTGTTCTCAAAGAATTTATAGCCTAGTAGAATTATACTAAAGGAGCTTATAAGTAACAATGAATTCAAAGTGGTGTATATTTAGTGCAGAAAAGTTAGATCTAGTAGTTTTTGGGTGGCTCCATCTAAAGCTGGAAATCACAGACTGGAAGCTCAGCCACACACTAGTGGTTTGACCTTGGCAGGTTGCATAACTTTTCCCAGCCAAATTTCTTACATTTAAATAGATTAGTATTTTTTTGCGAGTATCAAATGATATATGAAATGGGCATTGTAGTGCACTTGGTTAAATTATAGGACTGTAATTAGGATTCAGACGAGGATGACGTTGCATCTGATTGAGAGACTTCATTAAAAAAGGGGTAATATTTAATCGGAAGTCTTGAATACAAAGTTCAATTTTCAAAGCTGGGGACATTTTCACCTAAAGGAGCAAAGACACTCAAAGTAGAAACAAATTAGATTTCTTTTTAAATTTTGGTAAAATATACGTAACATAAAATTTATCATTTATCATTTTGACCATTTTTTAGTGGACTGTTCAATGGCATTAGGGCATTCACATTGTTGTACAACCATGGTCATCATACATCTCCAGAGCTTTTAAAATCTGAAACCGAAACTCTATATCTACTAAATAACAACTCCTCATTTTCTTTCCTCCCAGCCACTGACATCCACCATTTTTTCTTTCTTTCTCTATGAATTTGACTCTTCCATAATAGATACCTCGTATAAGTTATATCATACAATACTTGCTTTTTGTGTAGAAGTGACACATCTGTGTGTCAGAATTTCCTTCCTTGTAAAGAATGAATAATGCTCATATATATATATATATATATATATATATATATATATACCAGTATTCCATATATATGTGATATATAGTGGAGTATTATATATTAATATGTAGATGGATAGATGTATCTCACAGTTTATTTGTTTATCTGTCAATGCACACTTGGGTTGCTTCCAACTTTTGGTTATTGCAAATAATGCTGCTATGAACATGAATGTGCAAATATCTGTTCAAGTCTCTGCTTCCAATTCTTTGGGATATATACTCAGAAGTGGAATTGCTCGATCGTATAGTAATTCTATTTATAAACTTTTGAGGAACTGCCATGTTGTTTTTGCATAGCAGCTGCACTATTTTACATTCCCACTAGCAGTGTGTGAGGGTTCCAGTTATCCTTACATCCTCACCAACATTTGTTTTTTGTTTTATTTTGTAAATGACACTTATCCTAATGGGTGTGAAGTGATATCTCATGGTTTTGGCTTGAAATTCCCTAATGAAATTCCTGAGCATCTTTTCATGTGCCTATTGGGCATTATATATCTTATTTGGAAAAACATCTATTCAAGTATTTTGCCCATTAAAATAATTTTTTTTGTTGCTGTTGTCAAGTTATAAGAGTTCTTTATATATTTCTGGCATTAAACCTTTATTGGACATATGATTTGCAAATATTTTCTCCCACTCTGTGGGATGCCTTTTTACTTTGTTAATAGTGTCCTTTGTGCAAAAAAAAATTAATTTTCTGTAATCTGACTTATTTTTTCTTTTGTTCCCTGTGTTTTGGGTGTCATATTTTAAAAATCATTGCCAAAGTCCAATGTCATTATGCTTTTCTTCTATGTTTTCTTCTAAGAGTCTTATAGTTTTCGCTCTTACATTTAGATCTTTGATCCATTTTGAGTTAACTTTTATACAGCGTGTAAGGTAAGGGTACAACTTGATTTTTTTTTTTTGCATGTGTATATCCAGGTTTCCCAGCACCATTTGTGTAAAAGATTGTCTTTTCCCCAACAAATGAGATAATTTTTGAAGAAAAGAACATGCATAGAGTAGTTAAGAATCTAGTCAAAGAGCAAGCTGACAAGTTCATTGTGGTCATATCCTAGGCTACATGTTGGGCTCAGAAGTTTGGTCTTAATTTAGTAGAGACCATGGTATTATTGATTAGTAGGGAGGGTGTATATAGTGTGAGCAAGTTTGCAAGCAAAAGAGAATACAGTAGAGATGTTTTCTTTTATTTTATTAACAACTATCGTATCTAGTCCAGAAACACTTAAATTTATTTCTGACCTACAGATACTTTCACACTTTTGTGATCTATAAAGCACTGTTAATGAATTTTACACGTTGAATTGTTTTTCTCATCAAAAATGTGATTGCTTATAACATAGAATTTGGAAAATACAGAATGTCATGAAGAAAAAAACCCCAGTCACCATTTATCCCACAATCCAGATGTTACTGCTGCTAATATTGGCTGCCTGTAAGTTCAATTTTATAAACATATGTATTTTACACAAGTAAAAATAGTATTGAATGTGAAATTTTCCTTCCTTTTTAATTTTTTGTTACTGACATTATTCTATGAGCACATTTCCTTGCCATTTTAATGAGTTTTAAAGTGTGTTTAAGTAATAAGTATTGCAAAGGGAAGCAGAAGAACTGGTTTTAATCTTGGCAACAGCACAGACTTGCTCTCTAACCTTTACTAAGACACTCAGCCAATCACGACCTCACTTTCACTGCCTGCAAAATTGGATAATACTTGCTACCTATTCCCCAGGGGTGTGATGAAGAGCAATGAGGTAATGCCTGGAAATTGCTTTTTCTTCCCTGTAAGAAAGGTGCTATGCATGTAAAGATTATTATATCATATTGGGCTGTTGCTGAGCCAATAGTGGAGTGAAGGCAGAACCACTTTCTTCCCTTCTCCACCATCAGCCCCTTCATCCTATCTCTGTGAGCTTATTGGCCTGCTTTCTATACAGAGGGCTTATCACAGAAGCACACAGCTGCATTATGTTTCTGAAGCTTCAGAAAAATATTTATGGTTTAGACAGCAGTCGTTCTCGATGATTTGATTAGTGTGTTATGTACTCACAGACAATATCAGGATCATCCAGCGGCACTTCAGTATTCCAACTTCATTTATTCCTTTAGTTATATTTATCATTGTTCTTTAGATCTGAGGTGGCTGCTGCTGCTGCTACTGCTGCTGCCGCCGCCGCCAGTGTTTCCATCTGTGTGAATGTGTGACTGTGTGACCTACTGTCCTTGCTACACTCCTTAACTATGTCATTTGTCTGCCCATTTATGGGGCCGGCATCTGTTTGCATATCTTTCTTTTGCCACATAATGGAGTGGACAAGATGACCATTTCATCCCTTTCTTCTAACTACAGATTTCCAGGATCATGTATTGCATCTGCCTAACAAACTGTGCCTGTAATGCCATTTCTCAAGAATTCATACTGTGGATTTCTGTGGGGATGTTGACTACCTTATTTATTTTGTGAGACCAGGGCTTTTGTCTTTAAATGGTAACAGAATGATTTCTGTGTAGTTTTTATGAAGTTAGAAGTCAGTAGATAGAGCAACTTTCTGCTAATAGCCTCTTACATTGAATGCTTGCCGTTGACAGTATTTTTATGATAATTTTTGTCATCTCTTTAACAGTCTGTAGTATAGGAATCACAGTGTATATTTTAAAAATGAGGGTGCAGAGCCTTTGCATGGCTGAATCTAGGTGTTAACCCAGGCATCCTAAACCTAGCCCAGTTCTCTACCCACTGCAGAGGGAGAGGAGAGGTAAATGATTTTCCAAGGACAGCAATAAGAAATAGGAAATCAAAATAGAATTTATGATTGCTATATTTTAATCCAGCACTCTTGTTCCTTCCTCTAGCTTCTGTGATGTTAGTCTGAAGAGACTCTTACCTTTTTGTTTTGTTTATTATATGGCATCTGAAACAACACTCTGGACAGTCAGCAAAGGTTTGAGGTCTTATTCTGTTCTACAATTCAAACAATGAATTTTTTTTTTTTTTTTTTTTTTTTTTTTTTTTTTTTTGCCACAGAGGCCTTTGAAAATCTTACACGTGTGGACAAAGCCTTGAGCATCTAGAGAAATCTGCCCAAGTATGAGGAATATTTGAAAGAGCATTTCTGAATAGCAGTCTTTACCCTTGATTTCTATTATACTTCATCTGTGCATTTTGAAATGCATTCCTAGCTTGGTTTTATTAATCCTACCACCTCTGTGACAAGAAAAGGAGCTGTTGTTTATCTCCATTCTACAGATGTACAGACTGAGTGACGGGCTGTGCCTAGGGAAGCTCTTAGGCTTTCTGACTTGCAGTATCTAATAATGAGAGCTTGTTCCTCTTGTGCCCTTTTGCTCGATGTTATTTTCAATTTGCTTTCTTATGTGGAGAGGGCATTTTCATCTTTTATGATAGTTTCGAGTTTCATTTGCACCATCAAACCTGTAAATTCTTTTGTTCTTTAGAAAGCCTGGTCAGGGTGACATCTGTCTCTTTTTTTTGGGAGGGAATGATAATCTAATAGATAGGAAGATCTGCACGAAAATGAATCATTTTCTTTGCTTTAACTCTGCTTAGTTTATCATACGCTAAAAGCTTAGATTTAGATTTAAAAGGACTGGCTATAATACCTATGATAGTGCCATTTAAAAGTATAATACCATATGCAACTGACTTTTATTTCCTAGTGCTGCTCATCAATATATAAATATAGATTTACCAATCTTAGAAAATTAATTGGAAATCAGAAAACATATTGACTACGTTTTTTTTTTTTAAACTATGTCCAGGGAAACTAAGAATGACTTCATTCTGCATGTGCAAAGGTACAGGTAATTGGCATTACAGACTCATTCTTGCTGGACGTTGTGCTATGGAATTTTTGTCTATGTTGATTTTTTAAAAACAAAAGATAATCACAGCTTAGCCAGAGCTATGTGATGTGCTTGTTGACCCAGCTAGCAAAGAGTTTTGGACCTTGTTTTGCACCTTGTTCAATACATGCATGCTGAGTGGATAAATGAATGAATAAATGAATGAGTGAACGAGTACATAAACTGAATTAGACAAAGAAAGCTAATAGAAAGAAACTGGACATTAGAGGGCAATTCATGCAATACTTTGTAGCTCAATAGGGAGAGCCACCAAGACTATATTAATTGACCTAAGGAAAGAAAGGTAGGTGGGAAAGGCCACAAATTTAGAGGTGATGTGTAAGAGTAATTTTTCAATGAGGAAATATAATTTAGGGAAATAGCAAAGGCATTGAGCCTCACAGTCCAGGTACAACTCTCATAGATTCACTTATTTAATAAACAAGTATGTATTGACTGTCTATTCTGTGCCAGGTGTGGCGCTAGAGATTGGGGCTACCAAGGTCAGTCAAGTAGTAACTTCTGTCCTTAAGCTCAATTCATGTGGGAAAAACAGACTTGAAACCAAGTGGTACCAATGTAATATGGTTATTGATAGAGTAGAAATTTCTAAGATTCATCAAAATATGTAGAAAGGGTGTGATCAATTTTTCTTGTCAGAGTTAGAGAAAGATTCACAGAGAAAGGAACAGCAAAGCTTTTTGTTTTGTTTTTGTTTCATTTTCAAATGAAACAAAACCTGCCATGAGGATGCCTAATGGGCAATCCATGGATGACGTCTTTTACCCTCACACCTCTGCTATCCCTACTTCATAAATAAGACAATTGAGGCCCCCAGAAGCCAAATGAAGTGTGCAAGTTTACCCAGCGAATGTGCCCATCAAACCCAGTTCTGTATGCCTGCACAGCTCCTGCTCCTGCCATTATGTCACACAGGGTCTCCAGGAGAGAATAGGAATTCATCAGGCAGATAAGCAGCAGGAAGGGGAAAGTCTAGGCATTGGGAATGATGACTCAATGTGAGGGAGATGCTCAAGAGATGGAACATCAAGGGAATTATGAGCTACTCCTTCTATTAGAAGGTAGGATCGCTACTGTGTGTATTGTTGTCCTAGAAGCACTGTAGTTAATAAGGGGATTTAAATGTCCCTTCCAGCCTTGAAGTTTTATAATCATTAAGAAATTATCACTGATCTCAAGGGGCTTATTCTTCATTAATCTGCCAAATATTATTGACACCTACTATTTGCTGGGCACTATCCTAGGTACTGGTGATACATTAGTAAGCAACATAGTAAAAGCCCCTGCTCATATGGAGCGCTCATATAGTGAGAAATTAGATGCCAAACAAAAAAATGAGCAGTGCCAGACAGTGACCATCACTATGAAGCAGAAAAGCAAAGTAAGAGGAAAAGAACAATGGTGTGGCTGACATTTGAAGTCATGGGTGGCCTCTACAATATGTTAATATTTGAGCAGTATTATCTAATAGAGGAGCTCAGACATGTATCTAAGCAGTCACAGAATGAGATAGTATGTGATGAATCCTGGGGGAAAAACATTTAAAGAAAGAAGTGGCCATTTATTGACTACTGCTCACACGCTGGACAACACTTACAATATTCCTGAAAGGTGCCATCTGTCCTAGATGAAAAAACTGAGACCCAGAAAGGGTAAGTAACTTTTCTAATGGCACACAGACTGAATTCAAACTCAAATTTGTCTGAATCCATAGCCTGTGCTCTACCCACTCAAAGGACTGTGAGAGTCATTTTCCCCAGAGACAAAGGTGGGACACTTAGAGGAAGATTTCTTGATAGAGGCAGGGTGGAATTGAGTTTCAAAGGATGGGGGGAATTTTGATGTGGGATCCTGAGACAAAGAATGGGAATAAAACACCCAAAGTAAAAGAAAGCAGAAGGGAAAAATGCAGGGTTTGCTTATGAGCCAGCTGGTTGAAGTCCAGGCTGAGTGTGGACCCACAGCAAGTCATGAGACCAGAAATGGAAACAGACTCTGCAAGGTCTGGAAGGCTCAGCAGAGGAGTCTGCCCTTCATTTAGTACATAATGAGAACGATTGATGGTGTTTCCCAAGAGAGAACTGCTCATCCGTAGGATGGAGAAAGCCTTTCGGTGGGCTGATGTAGTTCTCTGCTTTTCTGCTTATGTTACTAGACTCAGTGGACTGAGTAGTTTATATTCAGTGATCATTATCCACACTTGCTCCTTTCCAGATTAGGTCTAGCATTAACCTGATGCACTATTACATCAGGAAAAGGTACTTGGACATAGCTTTGCATGAAACATTTCAGATGTGCCAATTCTCAATTGATTCCTTGAGAAGTGGCATTGTCCCAGACATCACATTGCTAGATGAATGTAGTGCTTTGGATGAAATCCATCTGGCTGAACCAACCCCCATCAAATTGACAGGATGCTGACAGGATGAAGAGGTAGAGGCTAGAAGTGTTGGCATTACAGCAAGCAGTCAGGGAGATGTTATTCACGAAAGAAGAAAGAGCACAACTAAATTCACCTTTGCTCTCAGTTGGAGAGCAGATTACATTCTTTACAGCAAAGTGATGACTCAAGTCACCCGCAGTGGAGGGAAAATAGACTGGGGCCAGCTCTTTAAGGAAGAGCTCAATGGTATCATGAGAAACCGATATATACCAACGTGGTGCCATTCAGGGTCAGACTCCTAGAGTGTCCTTAAGGCATTTTTGGTGGCCTATTGTATAATCTGCCCTTTTTGTGCTTTCTGTCTATATTTTTTCCCCTGTGTATTGTATATCCCGATCTCTGTGTATCAAGCTGCTATATGCCAAAGGCTATAGTCAAAACATGTTTGAAAGTCATCTTTTGGTTACATTTTCCATTCAGAGACATGGTTTTACAATAAATTCCAATGCAAGAGTTCGATCTATGAATGAGATTCGGAGTGAGGTCTGTCAATCTTGAAATTGTTTGCAAATTTTTTGTATTTACATGCATTTTCAGAGTAGCAGTCATGAAATTTTAAAAGTTTCTGTTATCCAACCAAGGTCAAACTTCTGTACTTCTCTGGAATTTGTCTCCTTCCCTCCCTCCCTTCCCTCTTTCCTTTTTTCCTTCTTGCAAAAACAGGAAGATAAGAGATGTCTAAGTAATGATACAGGACTCTTGAAGGGGTGAAGACCCTATGTCTGTTTTTTCTCTAATTAAAATAAAATGTTTCTCCTGACACTGGAAAGGAGGAGTGAAACTGCCCCTCCTCTTTCTCCTTCTGATGTGGATTATTTTTTATGCAGTAGATTGTTCACTCATTAGACACTTCACACTTGGTTCCCCTTAGCCAGACCCTGACACACACTTTAAAAGAAGCGCTAGAAGATAGCTTCTATTGAAATTGCTTCAATCATATGTCTCTTAAAGGGCCATTATCTATTAAACAGAACAAAATATTTTGAACAAAAATGTAAATAACAATTTTTGAATGGAGACTTTTACTTTCTTATTATAGCTAAAGAATATGTGTGGATTTAGATACCCGAGTACCTGAGGAATTACTGAAAGACAACGATGGGGCAGTTCTAAAGAAACAGCTCTTCAAACACAGGGGTGACTTCAAGAGGCATGTTCGGGGCTGATCTGCCTATCGATCCATTTCTAGACATCAATACCAGAGGCCGTGTGGCATAAAGTCACTAGACATCAATACCAGAGGCCGTGTGGCATAAAGTCACTAGACATCAATACCAGAGGCCGTGTGGCATAAAGTCATCCTTTTTTTTTTTTTCCCACCTGCTCCTGTTAATTTTGTATTTCTTTCATCATCTTTATTCCTTAACTATCTGAATCCCACTCTGTGAATATAATAACATTTGAGGTTTCCATTTACTTCTCATTTGAGATCTCTTGTACCTTTTAGTTTTTGTTTATAAATATAAATGTGATAAAGGTTGAATCATCTTGTCTGTTATACTTTCCAACCCTGGGAATACTTTCCAAGGCACTGCATATTAACTGGGTCCAGGGGAGCCATTTTGTCATTCTGAGGAGTTAATCTTGCTTGCCTGACTCAATACCCAAACTTCTTTAGAGTTTATTTTATTCCTCTCAAGGATGAGTGCATAGTACCCCCCAATACCACAATATCTTCTTTCATTGGCCTTTTGCATGAAATTATATTACAAGTGTTTTATTCTTAAATATTTGGAAAAGTAAAAGTTGTCTCCATGTTGAACTTCTGGGGGAAGCGATTTGGTAACTATGTCCCACAGAAAGTTCGATTTATTTTTCTCATGTATTTAACTTTAATTTATTTACACTTTCCCAAAACTGAATGGCATAAGGCACTTATTAGTCCATAATTCAAACCTGTCCAAGTCATTGTTAGTTTTATCATTTTCCTGCCTTGTATCGACTGAATTTTTCCACTTTGTGTCACCAGCACATTTCATCACCTTACTGTATTTTCTTTCTTTTAGGTCAGCAAAGTAACCAAAATCAATACTAATGCTGATCCATATGACATGCCACAAGTCACTTCCCTCAATTTGGTGATGCTGCCACTCAACAAATAGATATCTTTGGCTTCAATATCCTATCCAGGTTATTATCCACTTCAGCAACTTGTTTCTTATGGTTCACAGTGTGTCTTCTCACAGTGTACTTCTCTCAAAGGAGAGCAGGCTTCCTATTAAAGAGGCTCGTGTCTAGAATCAGATCCTTTTTAAAGCAGATATAAGGAACTTTGAGGAAGCTGTGGTTGTAGAATAGCACATTACTTCCAGGGAAAAAATAAACCTAAATTGTGCTTTAATGGGAGGATGTATTACTATTGGACAAAATCAGGAATGGGACACAGATTACTTAGATACTAGACAGCTCCCTGATTTGTCTTTGCCACTGTGTGATCCTAGGGAAGACACTTACATGTTTATTTGTTTGATTTTCTCTTTACACGAAAATCCTCATTACTACTAGTGAATGCGTTAGGTTGCTGTACGATATCAATGCCATAATAATGTGTTGAGAACATCATCCATGAAGAAAGAGATTTAATGCTTACCATCAGACTGAGAAAGAAGAGCTGCATTTCTCCCTTAGAAAAGAGATTTTATAGACATTTATCATAAAATACTACCAGATCTAATATCCTGGAAAAAGTCTGGCCCTCTACTTTAGACACAGACATATTCTAAGAACAATTCTGAAGCTGAATCAAGTGCTCAATCAATTCTCTTGTAGGTCATAATTAATTAATGAACAGAAACTTCAAAGAAGTTACTTATGTTACTTTTTCTACCTCTGTAAATGTTTCTAAAGAGTTAAAGAGTAAAAGATTCAAGAGTTTGCAGGGACTCCACACATCACTGATAATATTGGAGCTTTTCAACATCAGACATATACTCTTGTGCTCTAGATTTCACTATTTTTAAATTCAGTCAAGTTTGTTGTGAAGTTTTTGAGTGTGGTTTATAATATACACAATCTGGCATAGTTGATTAGCCACAAAAAGCTATGTCCACTGTGCTGAGTTACATCATGTTTATAACCTGCCACTTTGCTCTATTTTCATCAAGGCAAATGGTTGGATGACTAATTACTTTGGTATTTAGAAAAACCACAGTGGCAATTTCAGCCTGAAATAATTTAACTTGTAGTATGGGTACACTATTGGCTAAGTCAAATTCTAAGGTTAATTTTGATGGAAAAAAGGGCCTCACATGAATCCTGAAGGTGATGAATTAGAAACACAAAAGTGAAAGAAGTAACTGCAGAATCAGAGGAGAGCAAAGAAGGAAGCAAGGTAATATTTATGCACCTCATAGACATATCACACTGCCTTTCCTCTCTTTAGGCAGACATGCGCCAGGTTAGGGTCTAGCTGTCTCTAATCATTTTAGCTGTTGCTTTAATGAATGTCAAATTGCCACAATCTCCCCAGATTTCAGTCAGGAAGACCTTCTGATGAGTCTTTTACCTTGTTTTCTTTCAACACAGCAGGAATTGTAATGAAGAAATTAAATCATTCTTCATAGACAATAGGAATAGGGTCCCCAAAGCTTTTATGACTTGCTGTCCTCTTGGCAACAGCATTAACTGAGTTTCAGATTTGAGTTAACATTTTGAGAGATTGCTTTTTGAGGATAAAAATAAGGCTCTGAAATAACAATATCTTTCAAATGAATACAAATACCCATATCTCTGTATTACTCAATAATTTAAGACACAATTCTATAGAAATATACAGGCACAATGAAACTTTTGTTTACAATTAAGAAAAGGATGAAAGATACTTCATTTTTGGTATGAAAATATTTATTGAGTGTTTATTATGTGTGAGGGATTGTGGTCAGTGCCAAGTATATAATTGAACAGAACAAATATGCCTGCTTTTATAAAGTCTATATTTATTGTAATGGGGATACTGAAATCTTAATAGGCAGTGATAAAACAGAGTGATAAAAGCTGTGATAGAGGAAATAGATGTAAGGCTCCATGGGATACTAAGGAAGGGCACCACTCAGCACCACTGAACCTGGATCTGGAGCTCACAGAAGGCTTTCTGCAGGAGGTGACAGATTAGCTGAAATTTGACCAATGGCTAGAAGTGTGCTCTAGCAAAGAACATGTAAGAAGATTCAAGAGAGCACAGGGAGCAAAGATACTGAATGCAACACAGTAGGACTGAATGATGGTGGTGAAAGCGATGGTTCTGATGGTAGAGACGCGTGTAGAGAGATCTGCATGCCTAAGCATATTGTAAGATGGGTTAGGGTGACTGGATTTTAACCTGATGCCAGAAGCTGGTATTGAAAGGGTGAGAATGGAATTACTAAATTTACTTTAGGAAGATCAGTCAAATCATTAAGCAACAGATGACAAGCCGAGTGTTCAGTACCTCAAGTCTTAGGGAACACACAACACATGTTTAGATTTAGATTCAGATTCAATAGAAATGGACTTCTGTTTTTAACAGGAAGGAAATCTAGATTATTTGACAGACCTCTGGATAAAACTGAAAGTCTCCCTCATCATTAGATCACGGGTGTTCTGGCAAGGAGTTAAGAACTTCTCAGAGGCCAGAAGCTATGTGAAAGTGAGCACCCAGTCAGAAAAGTGGAGCGATGAGGCCAGCTGTTAGAATGTTTGCCAAATCCGGGTGGCTTGATTTTTTTGCTTTTTTGTGTCCCACAGAGCATAGGAGGTGTGAGAAAAAGCTTAGGGCCTATTAAATATGAGAATTATAACAGGAGGCTTCATGCAAAATTGGAACTCCAAAGCCCTGTCCCTTCAGGATAAAGAATAAATAAAAACTGGAAAGAATGCTCCCTGCCTTGCTGCCCCATCACAGCAAGGAAAATCACTTATGTCAAAGTCTGATATCAGTTGAAGGAAAAAGGATATCTCTGTAGAATGTGTAACCACAGGACAGTCCTCAGGTAGGTTTGAGGTGCTGTGAGATTGGTGTGTTTAGGAAAGTGGAAGAAACAAATGGAGGAATACATCTTCAACCCAGTTTCCAAGTCATTCCTATGACTCTCTGAAGAAATATGAGTGAACAGCCCAAATCCCAAAACACAAAAAGAAACAGAATAAGAAAGCGAGAGTATTCAGAAACAGATAGTAGTATTGACATATTTAGATATTGATAGTATTAGACAAAGAACAGAAAAAAGTATACTTTGTATGTTTATGAAAATAAAATATATTATCTAAAACTGAATAAGAAGAAAGTAAGAAACAAGCAGACATGAAAAAATAGAATTTTTAGAAATGGGAAATACATTGTTTTAAAAATTAAAAGCTCAATAAATGGGTTTAATAGAAGATTGGAAACAGTATAAGAGAAAATTAGTGAATTGAAAGACAGCTGAAGAAATTGTCCAGAATAAAGTATCAAGAAACAGGGATGGAAAATATAAAAGAGAGGTTAAGAGCACAGGATACAAAGTAAGAAAGCACAGCATGAAAACTCAAATCAGAGTTCTGGAAGGAGAGGGGACAGAGAATAAGAAAGTTAAAATAGTTCAAGAAATAATGGTTATACATTTCCCAGAATTGTTAAAAGATACCAGTCCTCAAATTGCAAAAGCCTAATGAACTCACCCAAGAAGGGTGAATAACAGAAAATATATATCTAGACTAATCATAAAACTGAAGAATCAAAAATAGGTTATTTTATATTTGGTATAAAAAATTTGTTATGAGAAGTTTTACCCATATCAACATCATACTGTTTTAGTTTTAGATATTTCATAATATTACCGAAGTAATTTAATTATAATTTATTTTCTAATCATAAGATCATCTTGGGTAAAGCTCTTGATCTGCTTCATTCATTTATTTATTTATTAATATTTATGTATCATTTTATCTTACATTGTATGTAATTTTTAACTATATGACTATATGGTAATATAACTAAGACCCTGGGCTCTTAGAATAAAAAGCTATCACAAGGGTCATTTCTTGCTTTTTTTTAAATGAGAAAATAGAGGACTATAGAAATGAAATATTGCTTTTGGTATTACAAAGCCAGTTAATAGCTCCTGAATTCTAAATAAGCAATCATTCTAGATGACTAATGCCTGGTTGGTACCATTTTTCTTCTTTAGTTGATGAAGGGAAATATCCTAGTTTAAGTTACAACACTGTTAAGGCTCGCATGACAGACAAAACGTTCTTTGCTGAAATAGTGTTAGTAAAACTTAAGTAAAATTGGAGTCTTTAAAAATCAGAAGTTCAAGGGCACAGTGGGAAAAAAGGTTGCTCTTTTTGGCTCAGAGTCACAAATTGCATTTTAGTTAACCACTAAATAATAATATTGAATGTAGGATTGCTATTACAATTCACAGAAACTCCTTTCCCCAAGACTACTGAGAACAGACTGAACGAAAGTACTCTCTTCCAAGAGGGACAATGCTTTTAGAAGATGTAGCTCTGTTCCATATGGACTACATTTTATTTATAAATTACATTTATATTCTAAATTAAGAAATTGTATGTTCCATGCAATTGATCAGATACCATAATAACTTCTGTCTTCTTGATGTACCTGGCCTGAATATTAATGGGAACATTAACACCCTTGTTTTTTTTTTAGCCTCCAATGCTGTATAAGCTCTATACGCCTAATAATGGCTCCTAATTTGTTTTTTAAAAAACTATAATTCTTATTTTCCGTAATTGCTAGGCTCTTTTAATTTAATGTATGTTACACATCTTCACAATTTCATTTAGGTGAATGGCGAAAATTTAAAAGAAAAAGAAATGTTTTTTATGCCGTAAGACAAATTATGCTGTAAGGAAGCAATGCTGTAGAGGGATAGAAGAATATAGGTACAGTGGTTCTGGATCTACATATTAAAGGAAAGTCTGCATGTGATCTTGTAAGTGTCAAAGCAAAGCCACTTTACACAATTATGCAGGTACTCACACTAACTCTTATGTACCTGTCAGTAACTCAGGGAAGCATTTTACTAGGAGAGAACTTTTTTTCACGAAATCCCACATATAGCTGTCTTTACAAAGTCCATGCCTTTGCTAGGACAAAGAATGAGTAAAGGTGACCTCTGCACACAAAATGAATTAGAAAATTTCCCCTCAAAGCTGGATGATAACATTATTTTCCTGTATGTTGATGTTGTTGATAGCTGCCTACGATCACCCATGCCACTAGATGGCAGCAGCACTCTTTCATTCTAAGACTTCTTTTCTTTTCTTTTTTTTTAAATCTCACTCTCCTGGATAGTTGTTCTCAGCTCTGCTGTGCGATGATTTAAACAACGCTTTGATGCTGTAGGATGTTGGTGTTCACAAATAAGGTCTATCCTTTTCTTTTTTCTGAAAAGATAATATACTGCTTTTTCAAAGTCAATTAACACTTAGGGCAAAGGAAATGGGGAAAGCAAAAGGTCACTTTCTAAAGGGTTGCCTTGAAACCTTTTGGTAAAATTCAGGTGTCATCCAGGAATTGCAAATCACTGGGAAAAGAAAAGAAATAATAATTAGTTCATTTGTTTCTTGATAACTCCCAATAAGATGGCTTAATACGACTTTTCTGCTTTATTTCCTAGTAATGCCCATGGGGTGCTCAGAGTGCCGGCTGGTAATTTTTATGTCTTGAAGTCATGAGGGCAATTGGGATGCTTTTGGGCCAATTTATGCATCAGGACAGGGGTGATGGAGAGAATGGCTAAGATCTCTGGACTGCACTGTGGTTGAATACGCTTTACAAAAGAGAATTGTCCAGAGAGTGGCATGAGACAGGGAGGAGTGAGTAACTTCCTCAGAAAGGTGATAGACCGAAGGACAAAAACGATAAGACTTTCTTCTACAAACAATCAGCCTCCATTCCAACCTCCAAACAATGCTAAGTGAACCTAAGCTTCAGGGTCAGTAAAATAAGGATGCATAAGTTTGGAGCTACTTCATGTTTTGACCTCAGATGCACTTTGAAAATTTAGATAGTTCACCAGATGAATGTCTCAGAACATAACAGCTCAAGGTTTTAATAACTCACTTGAATTTCATTTAGAAAACATGCCTGGACACCCAGGAAACAATAAGCAGATATTAAAAAGTAACCAAATGCATTGCAAATGAAGTTATTAACAAACTGACTTTTAAATTTACTGCTGCTGGCAGGGTGCCCGTCTGGACAGGTCGAGTCAGGGCTGTGCACGGCTCACGCCTCTTGCAGCATGCCTCACCGTTGAGATCGCAGTCACAGTTCTTTCCTATCTTTTTATATCTATTTTAATATAAAAAGGCCTTCACTCGGTTTAATAACCTTTTCCTTCTTGAATAAGGAGTTTCTGTTTGCAATCACATGAATAGAAAAAGACCTGCTCCAGAAACTCTGGGAGATTATTGCATGCCTAGCTGCAAAAATAAGGTTTTGAAAGAGCAGAAGGGATGGAATAACTAAATAATGAGCAAATTCTTGGGAGGTAAATTATTATTCGGGATTTTTGAACTGGTCTTTTATAAAAGGAAATAATAATAATTACAATCCTGCAAATACTGTTGCCTGGTGGGAGACAACAGTAGCTTTGCTGGAGAGGCCGCTTGGCGCCTGCACTTTGTTCTCCTCCCACATCGCAGCCTGAAACATTATAAACCCAGGAAAAGACCCGCATTCACCCAATGAGCAATGTCTCCTTGCTTTGATTGTGTGTACGTTTCAAACCATAAAGGGATGGCATGATAACGTATTGCTTTTCACCTATAGGGGTCAGGGTAAAGTTTGAGGCTGCAGTTAAATGATGTGGGTAGATTCAAAGTACAAGGTTTCATCATTAGATATATTTTTGTTGGGGTGTGGGTGTCATCCGAACTTCCACAGGTCAAAACTGGCAATCGAATAATTGAAATTAATAAAAAAGCCAAGGAGAGGATGCGTTGGAAGCTGTACTCATAGGTCAGATCTGCCTCTCCAGTTCTAATATTTCCACTAGAATTTTTCGCTTCACTAAGCCTTGGCTTTTGACCTTCTCCACCGCTTCTTTTCATATCTAATAGGACCAACTTTATTCCCAGTTCTCTAAATTATTAATGATAACAAATACCTCCCTTTGTATTCAGTTGGAGATTTTAGCCGCATTTTGACAGAGAAGTTTAAAAGTCAGAGCTGGTAAGAACCACTGGGAAGGTCTGGTAGAAGGGGATGAGTGGGGAGGAGTGATTTTTTTCCTGCCGTCATCAGGCTCTCTTGGCCAGGGAAGCAGTGGTTGATCTGAGTGAGAGCAGTGCTTAGTGTGCTCTTGACCTATTTCTGGTCTGACCGCGTTCTCTCTCTCTGCTGTCATGAAGAACTTCTGTGTCTGTCTTCCCCTCAGCTTCCCCATCAGCACATTCACTATATGTGACACAAGATTGTCACCAGAATCAGCCTGGGCTTCCCCTTGTCAAAAGGACCCTCAGCACCTAAGCCCCTCTTCCAAAGAGACTCAGCCTCTGGCAGGTGTTACCAGCTAAAATTGAGTTTCGTGGCAGCTGCTTCTGGAACCTCAGAGACAGTGCTGCATGCCCGCAACAGGGGGACCATGAGAAGCCTGCGCATCCTGTGCACATGAGCCAATTGCCGCTGCTCCCTCTGGAGGATGTGGTTGCTTGAAAATAAAAGTTCCTTTCGCTTGTGTGAAAAAATGTGTTTTTTTCCTTTGCTTGTTTACTTAGTTTTCACCATTTAAAAATCATGCAGCATCTTCATTAAGGGGTAAACGTACAAAACATTACTCCTACTTGCATTTTTCTTTAGGTGCCAACACACCTCAGCAAGCTTTCAGACAACAGTCACCTAGCAACTACTTTTTCATACATTAAATGATTTCAAACTCTCACATTTCCCTCCACAAGAGCTGTATATTTTGCCTTTTCTTTCCATCTTACAGCTCAAGGAAAGAGCAAACAAGAATGAGAAAGTATATTGTTTAATCACAAAATATCAGTTTCAAACGATTGCTTTTAAATATATAAATATTTTCTGTAATAGTTTGCTAATCCATTTCTGACTTTCTATTTAAGTGGCAAGATATTAGTTAGAATTAGGTTCCACTGAAAGTGACAAAAACACTAAAGTTTAGTGGGTTTAACGAGAAAGAAATGGAAATGCAGTCCTTGGCTTGTGCCCCAGTGCCAGCATCCCTGGGAATCCAGGTTCATCTCTCCTGACTGATCTGCCATCCTCAACATGCAGTGACTGTGTCTTTGTCAGAGATGGCAGGGCCGGATTTTGTATCCTCATTTCAGGCAGCAGGAAGAAGAAAAGAGAAGTAAAAAGACATGCTACCTCACTTCTTTTATTTTTATTTTTTTGAGACAGTGTTTCACTCTGCCACCCAGGCTGGAGTGCAGTGGCGCGATCTCGGCTCACTGCAACCTCTGCCTTCTGGTTTCAAGTGGTTCTCCTGCCTCAGCCTCCCGAGTAGCTAGGATTACAGGCATGTGCCACTACACCCAGGTAATTTTTGTATTTTTAGTAGAGATGGGGTTTCACCATGTTGGTCAAGCTGGTCTTGAACTCCTGACCTCAGGTGATCCTCCTGCTTTGGCCTCTCAAAGTGCTGGGATTATAGGCATGAGCCACCGCATCTGGCCCATGCTCCCTCTTTAAGGTGACTTCCTAGTGGTTTCACCAATTGCTTCCACCTATATTCCACTGGCCAGGACTTAGTCATAGGGCCACACTTAGCTTCAAGATGGTCTTTATTTTGTGCTTTCGTGTGACCAACTAATATGCAGGGTTTCCATCACTGCATCAATAAGGAAGACGAAGATGGATACTGGAGAACACCTAATAGTCTCTGCCACAGGTCAAATATTAAAATTTAGGTAAACTGCAAAATTTATATTGCATCACTAACTCTTTTTTTCTTTCCAGAAGAAGGAATGCTTTCTTCTCTTGAGAGCAACAGATAACTTATTTAACAGAGGTGAAAATGTAAATGTTATTTGAGTTGTAATTGTTAGCAGGTTCTGAAAACATCCTAGAGGATTAACTACAGTCTTAAAGCACATGAACAATATTGGAACATGATCGTGCTATTTGTCACCCTGGGGAATCTGGAGTAAGGCTCATGTTGGTGGCCAACCAAGGCTATTTTTATTAAATAGTGTCCAAAAAAGTATATCTGTATCCTAGCACTGGAGGCAAGGTTGTAGAGTACCAATCATTAAAAGAAAACTTATCTAAACTGAGGAAAGTGTGCTGAAAAGCATCTAGGGGTTAGGTAAGTGCTGGTGACATTTTAATGATACACTTGGGTGGAATGAGAATGAAGACTGGAAGTTCACCCACAAAATGGGGCTCCAGGCCTTCGCCAGTTTCCCCGTTTCTTGAGTTGGCATAATCACCCCTTCGCTGGTTGAATTATTTCCCTTGGTTATATCAACACAATTAAAACATATCTAGCATATGGAGGCCTGATTCTTACTCCAGAGATGCTGCTTTATTGATCTGGGGTGGGTTCAAACAGCGACACTGTTTAGAAGTTTCCCAGATAATTGTAGTGCCAGGCAAGGCTCCAGGACCAGTGGGTCAGATGCCTTCAAGGGAGACTCCTGTGAATCCATGCAATAATCTCTTAGGGAACATCATCAAACTATTAATGCCAGGAATAACATTCTAATCTTTCAAAGGTGGCTCAATGCATACATTAAATAATTGATCATTTCATGTTTATATTTTTGAAGATTCAATAGTAGTTAAAAGCAGTGACTTGGAGTCATATCTGTGTGTGTTCAAAATTCAGTTCTACAAATTAATAACTGTGTGCTTAGGACCAGGTACCTGATCTGCTTTTGTTTCCTTACCCAAAACATGGAGATTTCTTTATGAAATATCTGTCTTTAGAGTTTGTGTGATGGTTAAATGCATGATTTACATAAAATGCTTTGTGAACTGCCTGATATAATCCAAGAACTCATAAAATAATGTTTTATTATTCCATAATTGTATTCTTTGTAGGGCATCTTTAAATATTGCTAGGATAGAAATTATTAGTGTGCTTTTATAAATTAAATAACTGTAGGTAAGTTAAAGACCTTATTCTAGGTAACTGGGTTAATCATATACTTTATCATATTTGTTGAGTACCTCAGCAAATATGTGGAAAGCTCAACTGCTTTAGGCCCAATGAGAACATACAATATACATGTAATATTCAGTGCAGTGAGGATGGCAGGTCATGTGTAGAGAAGGGACAATGTAGAAATATGAGGTGGTATATTTGTAGCAATGATTGCATATCAATTGCCAAATCTGTTTTCTCCATGTTCCATTTTAGGGTATAATGGAACATGTCTAAATTTCCCTTGCAATTACTGTTGTCAGATGACTTAGTTCTTGCAATTGAAATGTGAGTAGAAACAACATGTCATTTCTGGATCTGGACCTTCGTTTATTGGGTATATCTTCCCTTTCCTACTAAATGGGACATGCATGTGACAGAGTCCCAGCTTTGACCATGTGGATCATAACATACTGGGGAACGGGGGAGCAACAAAATGAAAGAATTCTGTATCCTGAGTGGCAATCCTGATGTGAGCTGTCCTAGGTCATTGGGCAAGAAATAAATGAACTTTGTTCTTTAAGTCAACAAGTTGTGAGGTTTCCTTGATAGGAATGCATAGGCTCCACGCTGTAGATACTATTGACTAAGCCTCAAATTGATAGCATCTTTTAAAGACAGTGACTCTGTAGAACAGTGCTTCTCAAAGCAAAGTTCCCAGGGTGGTTGCAGCAGCAGCACCGGCAATATGTTAGAAATGCAAAATCTCAGGCCTCACCCAAGATCTTCTGAATCAGAAACTTGGAGGTGGGGTTCAGGCATCAATGTTATAAGAAGCTCTCCACATTTTTCTGAAGCAGACTTAAGTTTGAGAATCACTGTTATTAGCGGGGAGGAGGTTGGGAAGGGGTAGGGACGTTATGGAGAGAGCGAGTAGTGCTTTAAGAGAATGGGCATTGCAAATAAAATGCCTGGCTTTGAATTCTGCCCCTTACTCTGTAGGTAAACTTGGGCAAGTCAGCCTCTCTAGTCCTTAGTTGCTTTATCTGTAGAATAGGGATTGTAATTATACATCAGACATAGGGTCATTGTAAGGATTAAACAAGTCAATATGCATAATGCATTCAGAACAGTGCCTGGCATATAAAATGTTAGCTACAGTTACCATTTAAGCAATGAAGTTGTGTTGAAGAGTGGAAAATTAATCTACACAAACAAAGGGATAGTAGAGCAGGACCATGTAACTTCTCTGTGGTGACAATGTGTCTAATATTTATGAAGTAAGTAACACATATTTGTTGAGCGTTAGCTCAATGCAAGACACTATGTTAGGTGCTAGGGTAAGCAAAAAGGAAGACAACACAGGTCGGCTCTGAACGACCTTAAACCCCTAACACCAGCCTAGATTCTACTGTCTTAAAATGATCCACTATCCAAAATTTTAGGCAATTTCTAGACAATTTCAAAATGTGGTTCTCAATTATTCTCATACTCATTAGAATACCTGCCAGGGGGCCAGAGTTAAAAAGCGTAAAGGCATTTAACTGCTTGTCTGTCTGCTTTCAATATTCTATAAAAGGAAATTTTTTATAAAAAAATCTGGGCTTTCACATCAAGTGATGATTTGACATTAATGCATATACCTCTACAGAAGTGATCAAAGAACTGAGGTTTTCTATCAAAGCACCTGATTGCACTTTAAACTTTATTTTTCTATGGTATGGCATGAACTGAGAATACTTCTTATGATTTAGGAACGATTATGCACTTCTATCTTCCACCCGACTCTATATATAGTAAGTAGTAAGCTCCGGCTTACAAGTATGGTAAACTAATCACAGAAAAGAAATTCCAGTGTTTGGTATGAAGCACAGTTCATCACTGCAGCTGGAAGGGCATGTATTTCAACACTGAGAAGGCCTTGCTAGTTTATTTTAGACTAAAACATTAGCAAATGTACACAGAAAAGGCCATAGGATTTCATTTCTAAGCAAAATTTAGTCAAATATTAGGAAGTTTGCTCTGTTCTGATATTGCTTTTAGAACCAGAGATGCTGTTTTCCTATGGGATTCATGCTTTTTCTTATTAGAAGCTCAACATCTGTTCCTCAGCAGCTGAAAGAGAATATGGCTAATGGATTAAAAAAAAAAAAAAGAAAAATCAACAACAACTTCAAATCTCAGCAGTTAGAATGTAGGCTTCTGTGGCTTGGCATCCTCAGAACATATATTCTGAAATAGGGTAAAAGAAAAGAGAGGTTTAGGTTGAATATCAGAAAAAATTTCAGAAAGGCAACAAATTTGGAAGGAACAAAAAGTCTCCCTGGTAGGGGAGACCACACTTAGAATCAGACTGAACAAAGCACAAAAACTTATACTGAGAAGTACTGTTGACCAGTAGAAAAATGAATCTTATGCCCAAAAGATAGTTTTTCCAATTTTAATATGTGATTTTCTAATTACTTTCTAGAAATATAAAAATTTAACTAGTTTGAGAAAAATTGGGGTACTTTCTGGGAACATTGACTCTTGCTCTTCTTTATGTGATTAAAAACTTTAGACAAAAAATCAGATGTATTTTAAATCATTTCTCTTTCTCCTCTAAGTGTACTTGAACTATGATAAATATAATAATTTGTTATTTATAAGACAAAAAAATGGAATGACAAATAAGCATTTGTCTTTGGGGAGAATAAATTTATTTCAACCTGATCTATATGGCCTCCTCCTAGAAATAAGCCATCATTATAAATGAGGAGAAAAGTATCAATTAATTATCTTCCTACATGTAGGTGTGCATAAGAGCCTAGGCAGACATATTTACACAGTTACAGTGAATCTGTCCTTCTGGCAAATGTAACTGAAATGTAACTGGAAGCTTATCCTCTTTCTTTCTTTCTTCTTCTTCTTTTTTTTTTCTGAGAGAAAAATTCAGGTGAAATTCACTGATGTTTGGTAGAAAGCCCAGTTGCCTCTGTGCTGATTTGTTCTGATTTATGGCTTTGAGGAATAACTGTGCAAGCTCCTAAGTTTGGTTAATGCAGGCTTTGCTTTTCAATTAATTTAGGATTTCAGGCACTGCGTAATTCCAGTATTAACAACCCATTGTTACCAATAAAAACAGAAATCTCTTCCTGATCCCTGCTAGGTTGCAAAGTGGAGAATATAGAGGATTATGATTTACCCCTTTGTACATTCTCAGCAAGGCTTTAAGGTCCTTAAAACATGACCCACACTAACCAGCCTTAGGTTTCCACTGTCTCATAGCTCAGTTTCCACCAAAATGGGGATATTTACCCAGAGATCTGTGCTCAGTTGGCTCTCTGCTTCTTGACTAGCTTCATTTACTGCCCATTGAAATTCTAACCCCAGGTCAAAAGCCATCTTTTCCATGACATATTTTTTCATCCTGACTGCTGCAAGCCATCTGGTCTCCTGCCCCGTCCCATTGTTTATGTCTTCCTTATTGTCCTCCTCATAGTCTGTCTTCTGTACTGACTGGAGGCTTCCATTTCTCTCCAGCAGATTATACTTGAGGTAAAGACTGAGTCTTATTCATATTTCCTGCAGCATCCAGGGCAGTGCTGTGTGTAGAGCATGTGTATGACATTAAACCCATCCTCGCAGAACAGTGAGTACAGGCTTTATGTCAGGCACCGGGCGAGCACAATGAAAGACTGTAAATTACTACCCTCAGAAAGTCCTCAAACTGGTTGGGCAGTTGAGACTTGTGTAAATATATTTATCCTATGAGAAAGAATTTAAGGGAATTCAAATGAAAGAAAACCATGGGTATTCACAGAATGGAAAAAATTACTATGTGTGTGTTGGGGTAAGGTATGAGGTAGGTGATGTGTGTCAGAGAAAATTTCAAAGAAAAAGTGTGGGCTAGAATACAAAAAAGTCTAGGGGACAAAGATCGGAATTGATTGGGATGCCAAAATTCCATGCAGAAAAGATCTAAGGAGTGAAAGATCAAGCCAGATGACCAAGCACTTTCAAAGCTCTTACAGGTTTGGGGGTAAACTTATAAAAGGCCCTCATCGCCAGTTAAAAATCTTTGTAAAATAACATGTCAGGGAGACTCATCTGGTGTTTGTGTGTAGGAGAGGAGATGGGAGGTGAGGAGGTGAGGGGGCAGGTGGGATGAGAGAGATGAGGCTGGTCGTACTAAGGTGCTGCCCATATGGCTCAATCTTTCTGACACATGTACAGGACAGTGCACCGTGTAAAAAATAATGATTATTTACACTTACAGGATAAGAATATTCACAAAAGATTCACTGCTTTATAAAAGGCTTAAACATAAAATTCCTTTAAGAACAGTAAGCACTTCTGGTGAGCACAAAATTATTTTTCTTCAACTTTTGTAAAACTCTTTCAGAAACATAACTAGTGAGTGATGCAAAGCACATCTGTATCCAATTATGTTAGAGCACCAATATATTTCTGGTTTATAAAGAAGAGTATCCAGAACAGAAGCTCTTGCACTATTTCACTCAGATTTTAAGGCGTCCTCAGAGTCCTACTCTTTAGTAATCTCAAAAGTACATATTCTAAGCTGCATAGCGATAGACAAGACAGTATGAAAACTTTCTAAAAACTTACATATTTCTCCTTAAAAACTGCTGCAATGACTTCTTAACTTCCTTGAGATATAGGCGATTCACAAGCCCACTCAGCCATCTGTTTTGCTTGATTTCAGACCATTTCCATCTTTTCCAGAGACACAAAGGCAAATAATGTATGTGTATCTATGTGCATGTGCTTGCTTGAGTGAGGGTGTGTGCACGCACACGCGCGCACACACACACACACACACAAGTTTGGATTGTGTTCTCCATATCAAGTTTTTGAAACTGTTCTTTTCTTGGGGCAGTATATAACCAGTTATTTAGCAATAATGTTTGCCTAGAGTTATTTGTTTTGAAACACAGAATCTTTTTAAACCTTGTTTCTCTTTTAACAGCAAAAAGAAGCTTGAGTGATTATAGCAAACTTTCAAAGTCAATGCCACTAAGTGTCCTTTTTATGGTAGCAGAATTAGTTTTTATTTTCATACAGTATTCAGGAGGTATGAAAGCAGATGAACCTAGGAATGCCACAGCTGACAGTGATTCCACCCACAACAATTGAGAAGAGCACAAATAACCTCTCCCCTATAGGGACTATGTACGCCCTGATTCTTTTTGCTATGGTTTAAAGTCTAAAGGAGAATTGTCAAACAAATAATAATACTAGGTAACTTTATTTATTTATTTATTATTTATTTATTTATTTATTTTGAGACGGAGTCTCACTCTGTTGCCAGGCTGGAGTGCAGTGGCGTGATCTCGGCTCACTGCAACCTCCGCCTCCCAGGTTCAAGTGATTTTCCTGCCTCAGCCTCCTGAGTAGCTGGGACTACAGGTGCATGCCACCATGCCCAGCTAAGTTTTGTATATTTAGTAGAGACAGGGTTTCACCATGTTGGCCAGGATGGTCTCAATCTCTTGACCTCACGATCTGCCCGCCTGGGCCTCCCTAAGTGCTGGGACTACAGGCGTGAGCCACCACTCCTGGCCAATACTAGGTAATATTTATTGAACACTTATTAAGTGCTGAGTCCTGTTCTAAGTACTTTGTATGTATCAATTGGTTGAATCCTACAACTACCTGTATGATGTAGATACTATTGCTATGCCCTTTTACAGATGAGGAAATTGAAGCACAGAGGAATTGAACAACTTGCCCAAAGTTACAGAGCTGGGAGAGTTGTGGTTTGAACTCAGACAGTTTGACCCCAGACCCTGCCCTGGAACCAGTTGCTCTGAGAACCAATTGTTTACCTCCTTTTTATTCCTTCCAAAATTCCATGGCATTATGCTTTTTTGGAGGAGTAGAACTAGAAAGAAGGAAGCCATTGTAAGTGAGTAGAATGCTCATATATGCTATCCTGTTTTATTATTTAATCTTTATAACAACTCTTCAAGGTAGATATTATTCGTGTGGGTTACAGATGAAGAAGCTTGCCCTATAGTTTGTAAGTGGCACCAAGATTTGAACCTGAAACTAACAAATGACATTTGTTCAGTGTCAACTGTGTGCTGGATGTTTTATATCCATTTTCTCTTTGATCTTTACAATGATCTTGTAAGGAAGGTGTCTTTGGGAGTCATAAGAATGAGGTAAGTAAAGAAAGTCTTGAATGGGTTTCAGTCTGTGGAAAGCAGGCTAGCTCTAGATTGCTGTGCTATACTGCAAGAAGCATCTGTCCATGTGATGAGTAGGAAATAGATGTATCCATCACATTTCACTTACTTTCATTAGGAGATAGTGAGACTGTGAGAAAAAGAGCACTGGATGAGAGTCATATATTGGTGGGAAGCTGACTGAAATCAGGGAAAATACCTCACTGGGAAGTAAACATCATACATTTGGTTGAGATGTTTCTTGCTGTGCAGAAGATGATTCCCATTGACACATCTGGAGCTGAATGCTTGATCTTGAGGTAGAAACCATTGGTTTTCCAGTGAGTCCCTTCATACGTCTAGGTCAGCTTGTCCCTTGTTTGAGACAGGTGGGAGCTTCCCATGAACTGCTCCCACGATGTCTAGTTAGTATTCATGACTATATCATTTTCTAAGATTTTGGGTCATAGGTTTCTCCTATGTTTCAATTACCCTAGGACCCATAAGTGTACAGCTGTTAAAAAAAAAAAAGTTCCTGGTGTCAGTGACAGGTACAACTCTCATTTTCCAGATGACAATCTGAAACTTGAGAGGTTTAGGTCCAGGATTAGACAATAAATGTCAAAGCTAGGGTTGAAGTCAGATGTACTGACTACAAAGACACATATATTGGAATATAACAACATGCTGTCTTGCTTGTAGAATTGTTCACCTCTTTTGCTTGTATAATTTTTATTTCAGCAGTTTCTTCTGTTATTCAAACTATGTGAAGCTATTCCAGCAAGCTTATGTAATAGAGAATAGCATAAAATGTTTGCCAGTAATCTTTTGGTAATCTTAGTTTTCCATTTGACATTAAAAATCTGAGATTTCTCCTTTCCATGCTCATGCCACTGGTCCTTAAATTACTACAGAATTTTTCTAAACGTTTTCCGGGCCTCAACTTTCTTTCCTTTCCAGAAAATTGTCAAAAAAAAAAACATAGATAAGGTTACTAAAACATAGATAAGATCACAAAAACCTGTAGTAGCTCACCACTGCTGATAGCAATTGTTCCTGGCTTCCCTGCCTGTGAGTCTCAGCTTTAGAGCATTTTAAATATCCAGGTGCTCATGTTTCACCCTAGACGGCTACTCCTAATTTGGTCACTGAGCAGATAGATTATGTATGTTTACATAATTGTTTAATTATAAAGAATTACATGTACAAGATAATAATGTAGGATATTTTCTTGACCCCTTCATGGGTCTTGCAACAGGGGTGCCTCATTTACTCAGCCTGCCCTGCTCAGACCCTCACAGAAGGGAGCATGTGAGTGAACAAGTCCAGGAACTGGAGAGATCAAGTGCAGGAACCAGATGCTTTGGTGCCGGTAGGAGCAAACTCTGTGTGGGGTCCCGCGGCAGCACCCAGGTGGAGTGCCTGTGTCCCAAGGTCCCAGAGGCATGTTACAATGCTCTCTTAGCTCTGCAGTCCACAGACAGCAGTGTGTTATCAGCTCAGTGGGCCCTTTGCCTCATCACATGGGGTGGTTGCCTTCTGTCACCAAGGCAAAGGTCCAGTGTGACAGCCTTTTTGGGTACCTGCACCTAGTGCATCCTGAATTCATGTCCTGTGCCCAGGAAGATGAGGTCATGTGGCAGAATTGAAGGATAGTGAATGTGGATACTTTTATTGAGTGATGATAGCAGCTCTCAGCAGAGAGGGAGGAGCTGGATAAGGGACTGGAAGGGAAAGTTGCTCTCCCCTGAAGTCAAGCTGCCTCTCTGCCTCTCTCTTCTGAAGTCAAGTTACTTTGTCCAGCTGTGTCTCTGAAGTCAAAGTCGCCTCTCCCCTACGTCCGGCCACTTCTTCCCGACATTCAGCCACTTCTCCTGTCTGCTGGCTGAGTCTGGGGTCTTTATAGGCACAGGATGGGGGCAGGTGGGTGATAGGTAGTTTTGGAAAAGGCAACATTCAATTGGTAAAAATACATTATTCAGAAAGAGCCAATCAGGAGAGAGTGGGGACATAGGGATGGAAGTTCTCACTTTGAGCCATGAGTTTCAGGCTTTTTGGGTCAAATATTGAGTTTTGCCAGAGATCCATCCCAGTCTGCCTAGAATTTCTCTGCCTCCTGTTGCTGTCAATAATTTTCCCATCTCCCACTCAAAAAATCCCAGCTGAGTGCAGTGGCTCATGACTGTAATCCCAGCACATTGGGAGACTGAGGCAGGAGGATTGCTTGAACCCAGGAGTTTAAGACCAGCCTAAGCAACATGGTGAAACCTCTGTCTACAAGAAAGACAAAAATCAGCTGGTTGTGGTGGTGTACACCTGTAGTCCCAGCTACTTGGGCAGCTGAAACAGGAGTATTGCTTGAGACCCAGAAGGTGGAGGCTGCAATGAGCTGAGATTGTACCTCTGCATATCAGCCTGGGCCACAGAGCAAGACCATGTCTCAACAATAACAAAAATCCCAGCACCAGAGGGCATACATGAAAGTGAAAACTCCACATCTCAATGTCAAATCCATTCTCAGGCCTCAGGAGCAGCTTCTAACTGCTGCAGCTTTTGTTCCTTTGCAGCTGGCTCCGTAATACTGGATAATGCCTTTATAAGAAAAGCTTCATGAGTGAATCTGATTCACACCAAAGGTCACCAAACACTGATCAGAGAATGAGGAACGAACTCCTTGAGCTGACCTTCAAGGTTCTTCATAATCTTATTCTTTAACTACATTCTGTGGATCCGATATTCTAGGCATGGGCATTTTCAAGAGTCTGCTGCCTTTTCTTACATTGTAGTCTCGGACTGGTATGTCCTAACCCCCATTTCTGCACATTATTATTATTATTATTATTATTATTATTATTATCCTTCAAGTACTCACTTCAAATGAAATTCCTCTATGTAAGTGCCTTCTAAACTATTTCCCTATTGGTTTTTCTTTACCATATTTCTTTGATATTTCCAGAGCACAAATTTTATTCTATTCAGAGCTATTCAATGACATTGCATGCTATGCTCATTTAAACTCACCAGAATCCAACTGCAGATCTTCAGAAGAAAGAGAGAGAAAGAGAGAGCAAGAGATACTACATAGGGATCTGTTGTTTCCACAGCTGGAATCAGTTCTCCTGTTGTTTCTTATGGTGTTGGTGCTTGTGAGGCTTTTAAAGTACAGTATGAGTCTACTCAATTTTCGCATTACTTGCTGATTTTAGAACCCCACTCTCCCAGCAAGATACTAGTCCTAGTTAATTAGTTGTTTGCATGTGTCAGTGCAACCTTCTTCTTTGATCTGCATTTGGCTACTTACACATAACATACCAGAGTGCTTTCAAAGCACATTATTCCTTTTTTTTTTTTTCAACTTGAGGAAGGAAGTTAACTACTAAGTATAGCTTAGTGTTTAAGGTTCCAGGCTCAGAGCCAATCTGCTCAGGTTTGAATCCTAGCTGTACCACGTTTTGGGGTAGGATGACACATATTGTTCTGGTTTGCCCAGGACAACCCCTTTTTATACCTTCCGTTTGTTCTAGCATCCTGTGCAGTGACTGCCTCCTTTCATGCTCAGATGTGTCCTGGTTTAGACGATTAACTCTATCATCCCTCTCCTTTGGAGTAACTTTGTGCTTTTAAGCCTCAGCTTTTTCATCTGTAAAATGTAGAAAATATCATTACTTAAAGGCTGTTTCTAAAACATGACGAGCAGAATTCTGCATAGAGTAAACTTCTAATAAGCATTAGCCACATTTCCCTCTTCCTTTGTTTTCTTGGGAAGGGTGTGTGCCTAAGTCATACTGTCCTAACTTGTTCACCAGTATTCAGGGATATGGCTTACTCATGCAATACTTCTTCCTTACAGTATTTACTCTCAATATTGGAAAATTGTTGTAATATACAGATTTTGTTAGAACAAGACATTTTATTGCTACATGTCAAAAAATGGTCTATATATATATATGTGCATATATAGAGATACACATATATGGTCTTCTCTGTCTCTCTCATCTTTCTGTACATATTAGACACACATACAAATGTAAGTTTATAAAGTCTTAATGTGAATGCCCCCTTCTCCCTTACATAAGGTATTCTAATGCATTACAAAACATGAGGAATGTTCAAATAATCTGAAGAATTATAATCAGTCGTTTATGCCTTTATGAGCTCAACTTTCAAAACTGTTTAAGAATCGAAAAAATCAGAATTGTTTATACCTAATTCTAGTGCTTGGGTCTAATAGGATGGGGATAAAAGCACATTTTAGGAATATCCTGTAAAAAATTCAAGGCAGAGACAAAGGCAATGATTAATTAGGCAACAAGTATATTAACATAAAACTTCATATGAAATCTATAGATTCCCAAGCTGCTTATTAGACCTTGGTAAGTCGTTGAGAATCTGAGCTGTAAGAAATGAAGCTCACTTAAAAAATAACTACCAAGAGCAGACCAAATGGTCTTCGCTTGATAAACCTCGCTCTGCCTGCCTATACAGTTGAGGCAGAAGCCATCTAGAATGCAGTCTCCTTCCTAAGCCTCTGAGAAGCATGTCATTACTCTTTCCACTTTGAAAAAGGAGTCTGTCAATCAAGAAAGCTTATTTTACAGGTCCTGGAGGGGAGGAATAACACATTCAGTTTTACTCTCTCTTATTCTTGGTAACACTTCATCTCAAGTGCCCATTGAACAGCACACTCAATAACTTGGGCTGAATTATGATGAAAGCACTCTCCTGGGAATCCAAGGCATCTGTATCAACCAGCCGTTGCCATTAGTTTACAAGGATGCATAAAATCATGGGCCAACATAAGTAAATTATGGCCAACCCCCGTGTGGGAACCACAAAAAAGCCGACCCTAATGAAGGATTAGAGGAAATCCCTTTGTTCTCAGGTTCTCTCAGATCTTATCACCTGTACTACCTTAAGAAGTCAGTGGGTTACACCTCATTTCTTCTTTTTATAATGACATATGTGACACTTCATCCTGGGATTCAGATCTTAATTTTTCAGTTCCTTTTTTCATGTCATGATAAAAAATTCTGGAGAATATATAGTGTCAGCTTCCTTTCAGATTCATCATTTCAATATTTTCATCTGCTACAACTGTTTAATTAGGAGAGGCTTCTTTTGGTAGGCTCCTTTTGTATAACTTTAATGAAACTGAAGAGCATGAAATGTGGTTTCCCTGCTTTTAAATGAGGCTACTTTTATAGAAATAAGATGAGAAATGGAGAAATTGTTGAAGTCACAGTGCATGAAATTAAGGGAGCCCAAACTGTATTGGCAATAGTGCTTTTTTTTTTCTTCTTAAGTTGATGTTTTTGAGGAGCAAGGTTGTGGTTGCTAACAAACAGGGTCGATATTGTTTTTTCTTTCTTTTTTTTTTTTTAAGTTCATAGACTTCTCACAGACGTGCCCTTAAGGATTCAATTTGTTGTTGTTTAGGAAAATTGTATGAAGCAAACTATGTGTGATAGAGGGTTATTTTCAAACACTACAAAAGCAAATTAATGATGGCATCTAGTTATGAGATAAAAACCCGATATTGTGCTGAATCTTATCTAAAGCAGGATTTAATGTGTATGATTGAAATAGAATAATTACAGAAAATTTCAAGCCACTTATGCTATAATCATAAGCCATGTACTAGACTAGGAGGCTCTACCAAACCAATAATGTGTTAGTTATGTGCTCATCATCAAATTTTCTATCATACTATTCTGAATCTACAAATATAAAGGGAGGAGATGACGCAGCAATTTTCTCTTACATTTAATCCGTGCAACAAGCACTTTGGAAATTCAAGTACCAAATTCAGGAAGTCTATATTGCCTTGCTAGACAGTGTAGGCTAACTTGATAACTGGCAAAATATTTTTTCAGGTTTTGGAACTGGTTTTAAGTGCCAGTTAAAAATTATAAAGATATTGAGTGCAATTTTCCTCCTGACTTATAGGTGATTAGCACTCTTAGCTAAGAACAAGGAGATATTAAGCACCCCCAAATTTAAAGAAAGTACTTCCAAGAGCCAGTAACAATTGGAGCCAGAAAACTTGATCAGGAATTTGTTAGTTCACGAACCCCAACCTGCACTCCAGCTCCCTCTTGCTCCCCATCTCGGACTATCCGAAGGAGAATTGAGGCAGCATGGAGAAAGAGAAGCTTCCTGGGCTTCCATTTCATGCTGCAGATGGACTCTCCTCTCTTCATGGGATAGTTGGGCATTTGTCAGTTTCTACCCCATCCATCGTGTACTATGGGGGAGTCAAGAACTGAGGACTTTGGGAGGTGTGGAGCCAGATCTGGCTTCCTTTTTCAGAGAACTGAGATGTGGGAAGACTCCCTGGGCTTCCTGATGAACTCTGAAGACAACCCCTGAAAGAGTCAGCTCTTGGACTTCTGGAATTCAGAGGGCAGAGATGACCATTCAAGGATAGCCAGGAAAGCATAGACAACCAACATGGAAGGGACTACAATCAAGACAGTTTGTTGAAAAAACATGCCCCCTTCCTTTCTCTCTTGCCTCCCATCTACTTCAACCCCAAAGAAGTTAAGCTTTGAAAAAGTACAGGGATGAATTAGTCTCTCCCTCCCCATCCACTTAGAGATGCTGAGCAGGGGTGAAAGAGTTGGTCTTGCGGTGCTGTCCACACTCAAGCTTCTGTAGCCACAGACCTGGCTTTGGCAGGGGGATGGCTGAGGCAGAGATCAGATGTAAACAGAATATGAGAGAAACTTTAAGCCGAAGAGTGTTCTAATGACTTGAGATTAAACTGAAATGACTGAAATGTAAGAGATGAGCTAAAATGTTGGACAAAACAACATTGAAAACAGTGATTGGGAAATAAATATCTATATCCAAAAAGTCAGTAAAATCAGTTTCTCTTTGGTTCCTTTGATCATGTTTGATCTCTTTTTATAATTTTCTTTTGAATTTAGGATAAAACCACTGGGGTATTCACTCTTAAAATTACTGAAATTAAACAGATAAAAACAAATGGTTTTTTCATAACTGAAAACTTCTGGTGTTTCTTATATTTAATGACACATGAAAAATATTCCTCAATACTATGTTCAGTACCTGGGTGATGGGATCATTCATACCCCAAAACTCGGCATCACGCAATACAGCCAGGTAACAAACTTGCACATGTACCCCCTGAATCTAAAATAAAACTTGAAAAAATAAAAAAAAATCCCCAAGAGAAGAGATTTCTGGAAAAAGAGGACAGCGGCAGCTACAATAACAACAACATCAATGAAAGCCAACAACGTTGTTCTGGCTTCTCTGTTTGTATAAATCATTTAAAACAGTGCAAAGCCAAGTAAGTAGTATTAAATTTATCTTTGTAGAAAGACTAATCTTCTATTTTACCTCTAGGAGATGAATTTTCTATTCTTCTTATGTCTCTGTCCTAGGTTGAGTTTTCTGAGATGCAGACTTAAGGTAGAGAGTGGTGTGTGGGAGGTTTATTGGAGAATACTCTCTGATCAACACGTGGAGGGGAGTGGAAGGACCATGACTGGGTAGAGTGAGGGGTCGAACTGTGATGCAGTCACAGCAAAGACTGGAATGATGCTTCGAGTTGCTCTGAATTGCAGCCAGGAGACTGGGCCTTTCTTTATTCTCTGCATAGGCCAGTCTTGGTTGCAGGATGTTCTTGGGAAGGGAATATGACCTGACTCAGCCGAGAACTTCAGCTGTCAGTACTCCCAGCAGTAGTGTGCTGGCAAACCAGCTCTCTGAGGCAGGGGGAGCAAGGCGGGGAGAAATTAATCTTTATTCGTGGTGTTCACCAGTTTCCATGGTGTAACTACTCCCATCATTGCTAATTTCAAACTATTGTCATGATGTCACTGAACAATAGTTATGAAGAGATGCCCACAATTTGCCCTCACGGGCCAGCAAAAGCTGGCCCCAGCACATCATTGGTTCAGTCCTTGGAGAGGGGACCTTGATGTGCACCATGTCGTCTACCACACTGACTTCTTTTCGTGGAAAGCAATACTTTTAAAACTTAGAGAATTTTCAGCTACATAGGACACATCATAATAAATAGTTGCAAGTTTAAACTCAGTGAAATTAAACAACCTGGAGTGAGAAAGTCATTTATATTCCACGATATCCCAACAGCCTATTCTGATTTGGCAGTCTCAGGCTCTGAACCAACAACAACATCTGCTGACAATTTATTCTCTATTATCTTCTACCTGCTACTTAACCTACTGGATCAAACAATTTTGTGTTCACTGTTCCCTATCCACCTGTAAGTTGGAGTGTTCACTAGTAAAAATGGAAATATAGCTTTAGAAGTTTTTTCATGCCCTGATTGGAATGTCTTTATAAAGTTTTCAAATATATACCACGTACTCCAATCCACCCCTATCTTTGGTCAATTTCTAATTTATTTCCCTTTAATTTCATCCTGATTGACTTTCTGAATGCTTAGGAAGGGCAAAAAGTCTAAAAGGCCTGCTGAAAACAAAAGGGAGAATAATGATGGTGCACTTGACATTTCACTTTTCTGGAACCCATAGAGATTGCTAACCTCCGAGGCATATTCACTTTTCTCACCCATTCACCAGGATTGGCCTGTTCTCTATCTGAGACTCTCTCTTCCTTTGTCTACTATGGAGTTGACTATAATAGCACAACTTTTTTCATTCTTGTCTTTAAGAAAAAGATTGTATGCTTGGAATGTAGGAGGCATACAATAAATATATATTGTTTTGTTAAATAAGATTGTATTACTCTAACAATTAAAGGAAAGGAGAGAGGGCCTATGAAATAAGACACAAGAGAAACTGTCAAGACAATAAGGTATTTACACTCTTTATAAGAATAGTTATCACCAGTCATCACTGAGGTGTAAAATAGATGTGTTTGATTTTTCACCCATTTAATTTCTTAGTCTGTCTTCTGTGGATTGATTTCTTTTATTTCTAGGAATGGCTCCCTGGAACTGCCCTACCTTAGACAAGAAAGTTTCATAGTCCCTACAAAGGAACAGAAATGTGAATGATATATTAGTTACAGCAAGGGCTAAACTGTTGTTAACAAAGGGAACTAGAAATGAAATGGTTTGAGTAACATAGAGATTACTTTTTAGGTAACACTTTAGCCAGTCCAGGTCAAGGTGATAGGGGCAGCTATGTTTCATAAAGGACAATCTTTAGGGACCCATATTCCATTTAACATGGCTGTGCTTTATGTCATGAAAAGGGGAGAAGTCCAGAGCAAGACATTTCTTTTCAACAAAGTAACAATGAAGTTTCAGAATGCACACATTGCTTCTACTCACATTCTACTGGAGGCTGGAAAATGAAGTTTCTAGTTGGATGCTGATAAAAATATTTGGGGGCAGCTAGTAATTTGCCACTCTGGCCTCCTAAATATCCATGTATATGCTTTCTTGCCATATACAATTCCCTTGGGATTCTTTCTGAATGTCAGGGAAGATAATTATGGCCTCATTTATTACAGCCTCAGATGGAAGCTCAGGAGTTCTGGGTGGTAGTTCTCTCCAACAGGTCCAGATGAAGTTCTGCATTCTGGGGACCATAAGACAATAGACAAATTACCAGCCTAGAACATAACTACAACTGAATGGGAGAAACTCCCATTCAGAAAAGGGAAGAATTACAAACATAGCAAATTACAAAAATAACCTGAGTTATTAAAGACTTCCTACCCCAGCAGTGGAGTATGGTCCGTTTTGGCCCTTCTGGCCACCCCTGGTTCTGCTTTCTGAGATAGCTCCCTTGACCATCTCCGCTGTGGACCCTAGCTTTATCCTTTGCAAGAATGCTACTTGTGAGTTTTTTCTCTATTGGAAATAGGTATTCAGTATGAGTTTTTGTAGCAGCTTCTGGCTGAAGCAGCCTGGGATTTCTTGGGTAGTACAATTTCCTGGAAAACTTGGCCCTTCAATCCATTTGCTTCCAGTCATTTCTATTGACAGGTAGCCTTACATAAAGATTTTTTCTAGACAAGTTCTTATTTTTGCTGATTCTCTTACATTTATTGGCATCTCATCCTGTTCTGTCCCTCAATTCCGTAGTTAGGTTTGGACTGGAAGATAACAGTCTAATTGATTTCCCAACTATATGCATCTCATGCCAAGAAGTCTTTATGAGAGGTGATTGAGAGAGGCTCCAGGTAATAGACTTATGTTCTGCTATCCTTGGGTGTACGACCAATTGTACTTCCAGTCCTGTGAGACTTCACATTTCTGGATTCTCAGGAGAATTACATTTCTGACTGCAGGCAAGGAGAGTCTCACTTAGTAGATCCATAGCTCTTTCTAAGTCTGCTTTCGAACAGGCAAATTCTTGCCTGAGTTTATCTCTTTCTTATGTATCTTGTTAAAAGTGGTAAGGAATAATTTCTATTTTTTTTCTCACTGCTTCTCCTGGAGCAATAGGCTTGTTGGGCATACAGTTTGCTTTCTGAGTTATTTAGGCGGGCATTTTACCAAGTGCTTTAGCATGGCATAACAAAGGGTATAGAAGTACACACTTTCTATTTCTTCTGCCTACCACCTAATTTTTAAACTAGTTTAGAAACATATTTTAGGCTTTGTTACATAGTATCCTGCTTCCAGATACTAATGTCTATATTATTATTATATCTTGCTGTTGTTATTATAATTATTCTGTATTATTGCTAACTTCTTAGCTAAGCCAAGGTAAAGGTTATGTAGCTATAAACATATAGTTATATGCTAAATATATAGTTATATGCTATAAACATATTTTAGGCTTTGCTACATAGTATCCTGCTTCCAGATACTAATGTCTATATTATTATTATAACTTGCTATTGTTACTATAATTATTCTATATTATTGCTAACTTCTTAGCTAAGCCAGGGTAAAGGTTATGTTGCTATAACATGGATCCCTAAATACAGTGACTCATATGGGAAATATTAGTCTGGCTTGTCCAGGCTCTGAGGGTAGTTCTGCTACACAGTATCACCGATGGACTTAGATTTCTTCCATTTTGTTGTCCATCAACCTAAATGCCTGTGCTTATGGAAAAGAGACAGAATGGATCTGGGGGAGCCAGGTAGTAGTCTATCACAAATCATTAATGCGTAGGCCCAAAATGTTTCAAATAAGGTTAAATAATGTTTTAGAAATACTACACTATGCTATCAATCTCATTGTCCTCTTTCATGAAGAATAAGAATCTTAAGCCACTCTCCACAAATGCCTTTTTAAATGGAATCATGAAGTCATCCATTGTTTTTTAATTGGAAGTAGTCCAGCTCCCTTAGGAGGCATTGGGACATGTGTGGACATGCGTTGGGTATTTGAGATGTCTGGTGCTATGGTGAATGTTAGTTCCCTCCTAAAATTCATATGTTGAAATCTAACCATCAATGTGATGGAGTTTAAGAGGTAGGGCTTTTGGGAGGAGATTAGGCAAAGCTCTCATGAATGAAATTAGTGCCCTGATAAATAAGATTCAGAAGACTGTCTTGAACTTTATTCCAAGTGAACACACAGCAAAGAGATACCTTGTATGAACCAGAAAACAGACTCTCACCAGACACTCAATCTGCCAGCATCTTGGTCTTGGACAGGATTTGCTAGAAACAAATTTCTGTTGTTTACCAGCAACCCAGTGTATGGTATTTTTGTTATAGCAGCCTGAACAGACTAAGACATCTGGGGGCTGCTACTGGCATATAATACCCAAGAGCCTCAATTTAAGGTGAGGGGCATTCCCTTGTAATTAAGCGTTGTCCCAGCGAAAATGTGTGAAGAACGTAATTTCTTATTCCATGGCCTTCATTTTCAGGTCAATAGTGTCAGATATGAGAATAGAATGCAGATTTTTCTGACTAGCTGTTGGGTTTACTTTCTAAAATCCAGTCCCCAAAGGACAATGTTAATTTACACTTTTTAAAAAAAACTGTGCTTTTGGTTCCCACCTGTTCTATAGCAGCAGCAACTTACCTGCATAATTCTGTCTTTCCTTAACATATTTGAAGAGTCAAACAACTGTTAAAAATAGAATGACAGTTGTAGGGGAAGGAAATAAAAATCTAAATTCAGTATCTCTATATATACATATACAAATAGGAATATAAACAGACAAATATAGACTATGACTATAAAGCTTTAAGACTTAATTTTGGTATGAGGCTTGTGAAATCAATCTCCTTGCTTTATATTCATGCTTGATATACGTGGGTGCTATGCTTTCCCCATTCAAGTGAAAAATGTCCAGGAGTGAAGTGTGGAGGCATTAGGTTAGGAGCGATTGAGCCCACGGGCAATGGGCAGAGCCTGTGGATTGAGTGTCAGATCAAGGGCTGGTGTCCAGAGTGCTGGGACCAAGAAATCAAGAGAAGGAAAGAAAAAAAGGAGCCACCTCAAGTCAGGAAGAACACAGGTACCATTGCAGACCCAAGCCAGCAACAGTTTCTTTATCCAGGTAGGTGGTCAGGGAACAAGCCAGGAGGCGCCAGGAAAAGGGGGTGTTGACATTGAATAACACAGTGCAGCCTGGGTGTTTGTTATATGTTTCCTGCTGCAAACCAATTACCAGCAACAACAAAATAAGGTAGGAATAAAACATAGCAATGTCAACAGTAACAATAAATACCAATAACGGGATTCCTAGGGAAAACCATCATGGCACATGGAAGGGAGAATGAAATAAGGAAATAGTAAATACATCATCCTGACTGGAGGCACAAAAGTTAGCTATAAGGGCAAACCGTGGCATGTGTTTCTTCGCATGTTGAGTATGTAAAAGAGCATATTGTGACTGCAGAACCAACAATGCCACTGAGAAGGGATGATGCACCATTTGCTTTAGGATTTTTGTCTTTCCCTTTCATGTATTGTTTAAATGATCAAAAAATCTGTTAAAAATAGGGATGACAGTTTTTGGAGAAAGAAATCCAAAGCTAAGTACATTATGTGTACATGCATAAATAGAAGTATAAACACGGAGGCATGGAAAAAGGCACAATAAGAAGATCGTGTCACTGACAGCAGACTCTGCACTGGGAGTGAGTACAGAGACACACCCTTTTCTGTAGGTCCCTGAGCTGTTTATTTTTATATGAGCATTGTGCAGAGGGCCAAGTATGTATGAACTTAGTGTAACAGGACAGCTTGTTTGCTCTTTTTAGAGTCTACAACTGTCAGGTTCTGGAGCCCCTCCAAGTTCCCTATAGTGTTCTGATTTCACATGGCTTCATATATGGTTAAAAAAGAGTGTAACTTACTATTTGCCTCCTTAAAAACCTGTTCCATCTTTTCTGCTGTACAGTTGCTACTTAGTAGCGTTTTCAAATCCATTATCAGAGGAGGTCACCTGAAAGGACTTACTCCTTTTCTCAGAACTCCAGCACAACTGGACTCTCTAATTTTGTTTTTTTCTGTGACTGGTTCCCTCCCATCCCCAGGAATAGAGAATTTAACTTTTTGTTTTTTTTGAGGATAGCTTCAATTTAACAACTTATTTAGTGGGTGTGTTTGAAAGATGAGCTGGCTTGCTACTCACCAGCCAATGTACCAAGCTTCTCCTTAGTGTGTGTGATCTAGTCTCACCTCAAGAGTTTAGAATGGGAGGAAGTGGCAGATAGGCAACAGATATGACAAGATCATTCTATGTCCTTTCTCCCATTCCTGACCCATCTCATTCTTGAGTCTTCTATGACACAACTGCTTAGGTCATCCAGGTATTTCTTTGCCTTCCTCTGGATTCCAGTCTTCACTGTGGCAGGGAATCTCTGTGGCTGCTGAGAGTTAATTAAGAGAGAGAATCTTGGAAACTTAGAGCTTTAAGGGACCTTAAAGACTATCTGCTCCACCTCTCCTTTTGCAGGCTGAGAAATGGAATCTCATGGAACAGTATCTAGGGCAGCTAATTAGGGAAGAGTCAGTCCTGGAACCCAGGTCTTCTTCTGGGCTGTTTCCAATAGGCCATACATATTTTCTTGCCATTGGCAGGAGACTGCACAATGGTATCCAAGTATTTGCTCTATAAATAGACACTTCTCAGGGTGCTTTATTCTTCATGTTCTATATAATAACACTGTCACTAGCAGCAATTTCTGCCACCACACAGTTAGCAAACAGAAGAATAAAGAATCCCTTATCCTCTTGTTTTATTTTCCTTTCTATTTTGTGACTTTTCTCCAATGAAGACCTGAATAGAATCTCAGAAGAGGAGGAATGTTTGAATCCCCCTTCTCTGCCCTGTGTAATTCTTACATTTGGAAAAAATGTATCCTTGTTCCAATTTTCTAAGAAGATGGTGGATTCCTCTGCCCCAGTTGTAAATCTTCTCTTCATGTCAGTATCCTCTCAGATTTAATCTTGAAGTGCAAAATGTTGTCTGACTGCCTTGGCTCATATCTCCAGTAGCTACATGCCACTGTAACCAGGGTCACAGAAATCATTCCTCGCAGATGGCTGCGTCCCTTTCTCTTTGTGACAGTGTCGGTCAGCCAAAGTGTTTACAGGTGTGTATTTCCTGGTGGATGCTTGGGCTTGTGACTGCCATATGGTGTCAAGACTGATATCTGCATCAACATCTTCTGGACATAAGTAGCTGAAAAGCATTTGTTAGGGATTTGTGGGAAACACAGAGGTCTGTGTAGATAGCCACAGTATGATATGCTCTTTATTTGTCCATTCATTTGTACTTTTTTTAATTCAACAGATATTTAGTGCAATCTTACTCTGTGCTAGGTGCTGAGGCTACTGCACTGAATGAGACCCAATCCCTGCTCTCCAGGAGCTCATAGTCTAGTTGGGGAGGTGGATTAAATATGTGAATTATTACATAACCCAGTGTGATACTCATTCAGACAAGGCGTATTGAAAGAATCATAGAAGGAGAAGAAAGAGATTGCATTTTGCTTGATCTGTGAAGGGAGAAAAATCTTCTGTTTAAGGTGATACTTGAGTGAGTGTTTGATATGGTTTGCTGTGTCCCCACCCAACTCTCACCTTGAATTGTAATAATTCCCTTGTGTCAAGGGTGGGGCAAGGTGGAGATAAATGAAACATGGGGGCGGTTTCCCCCATACTGTTCTCATGGTAATGAGTAAGTCTCACGAGATCTCCTGGTTTTATAAATGGGAGTTCCCCTGCACAAGTCCTCTTGCCTGCCACCATGTAAGACATGACTTTGTTCCTCCTAGCAACATAATTGTGAGGCCTCCCAAGCCATGTGAAAAAGTGAGTTAATTAAACCTCTTTCCTTTACAAATTTCCCAGTCTTGGGTATGTCTTTATTAGCAGTGTGAGAATGGACTAATACAGTGTTTAAGAATAGGTAGGCACTGTCCAGGTAGTAAGGGAAGGAAAGAAACCCCAGACAATAGAGATAGCACATGCAATGGCACAGAATAGTGAGCATACATGTCCTCTTTGGGAAATTACAATATTTTGATATGGCCAAGGAGGATCTGGCAAAAGAGAAGGCTAACAGAATGGTGGAGGCCTAGATCACTGACAGCCTTCTCAGACAAACTTGGACTTTGTACTTTATCATGAAGTTAACAGAAAGCTACTGAGGCATATTGTGATCAGACTGATGGATTGGAAAAGTAACTGGGCAGTAGGGTGCATTGAGGGGAGGTCGTGAGACATAAGGCAGATGGATGGGATAGGAGTCAGCTGTAGTAATCCAAGCAGAAATGTTGGTGGCTTGAAACAAGGCTATAATCATTGAGGATTGACTGAGAGGTCCAGAGCTGTTGTAGTGCTAGACTTGATAGGATCTGGTAACCAGCTGACTGTGGAGATGAGGCAGACTAGAGTGGCATCCAGCAACTAAACTGGTGCCATTTACTGTGTCAGGAAGAGAAAGGGCAGGTTTTCTGATGCGTGTGAGGTTGGGATTGGGGAACACAGAGGGAAAAGCCTGTGGTGCGTGCAAATGAATCCATCTAGGAGGCTGTAGGGATCACACGTCTGTGGCTCAACAGAGATATTAGACAAGAAATATAACTTGTTGGCCATCAGCACATTTTTTTTTGGTAGCTGAAAACATGCATATGGATGTGGTAATTAGGAGGAGAGGTCAAATACAAAAGTAGGTGTAAATCAGATTTCTGGATTAAATCCCGGCTCTACCACTTATGTACTGTATAACTCTTGAAAAGTTCCCTCACTTCTTCAAGCCTTGGTTTCCTTATTTGTATTATAGGAATATTCATAATAGCTATCTTATGAAGCATGTGAAGTCCTTAGTCAAGTGACACACTGTAAATACCAATCAATATTGGCTAGTATTATTGATATAAAATTGAGAGTTTAAGGCAGGAGCTAAAAAGAAGACTGCAGACGAGGGATATCTGTGATTTCAGAGAGGAGCAGAGTAAGTGGAACAGCCAGAGGGTTGAGGGTAAGCCACGAGAAAGAGGCAGCTTAGAAATGTGAAAAAGAATGTATTTCAGAAGTGAATGGCCAACATTGTTAAGTGCTATTCTGAGCCCAAGAAACAGTAGGTTTGGCTAACTGTATAATACTTTTCAAGAATAAACACACTGGAGTGTGGAAACAAAAGGCAGACCCTAGTGGTTTTAAAGGTAAATAGAAGATGAGATGGTGGAAGCATGGAGTGCAAACTCCTGCTTTAATACATTTAGCTATAAAAAGGAAGAAAGTCTTAGTATCTAGAGGACTTTTTGGAGAAGAAAGAGGGCTTTTTAAAGATAAGAGGAAACTGGCATGCTCATAAACTGAAGGAAAACAGAAAAATATGCAGGATGCTGAGACCCAGGTTAAAACTCGATGCTGATCTCTTCTTCTTATGCACTGTAGAGTGTGTTTAGTACTGAGGCCCAAGGTCATGGGAGAAAAGAGGTAGAGAATTAACTTTAGCTAATTACCAGGCATTATGCAAGATTATTTCCATTCGATCATTTATTGAATCATCATGGAGACCTGGCAAGAAAGCTGTCCATTAATAATTCATATTTCCCACCCCAAGAAACTAAGACTCAAGAGTATAGGCAATCCATCCAAGGTCACAAATTAAAGTTGGGCTTTGACCAAGCTTTGTCACTTTCAAAGCTTGTATTGTGTCTCTTGAGCATGCAGTGGGATTATTTAAACAGCAGATTTTGGAGTGTGCATATTTATGATGATGGATGGTTGTAGCAGACAGTATCAGCACTCTGCCCACACCCTCCTTGGGTCCCTTCGTCATTTTCCTGCACACTGGATCTCATTGTTTCTTTCCCTACACCTGCTCCTCTTAGTTGGAAGGCTGCCCTCAGGCAGCAGGAGGCTTTCCTGTGTATGGGGAGAGTAAGAATACCTAGAAAATTAGGTTCTCTATAGCTACTCCACCTCCTAGCCCTTAAGCAATGCTTGATGGATGCCATGGTGTAATACCCAGTTCTCTGGTCCCTGCTATACAAACTCTGAGGTGTGACTCACACTGTCACCAGATTTCCTCCAAGGAATTGAGCTAGTTACTCTCCGTGGCACTTTGCTTGATATCACATCTTCACCTGGCCTCTGCATTAGTTTCCTATTTGTGCTGTAACCAATACTCATAATTTGAGTGACTTAAAACAGAAGAAATGTATTATTTTCTATTTTATAGTTCTGCATGTCAGGCATCCCGTATGGTCTCACTGGTGCTTCATTTTGTAGGCTCTAGGGGAGAATCATTTTCCTTGTTCATTTCCTTGGGTGCTGGTTGAATTCCATTCTCTGTGGCTGAGGTCCTCTTTTCTTGTTGGTGGTCAGCTGGGACTCACCCTTAGCTCCTAGAGGCCTCTGTTCCTTGCGCATTACCTCCAACATCTAAGAGACATCACAGAGAATCACATCCTTCTCGTGCTGCCTTCTCCGTGACCTACACTTCTGCTTCCCCTTTCACATTTATAGACTCTTGTGACAAGATTGGGCCTATCCATAGAATCCAGGGTGATCTCTCTATTTTATGGTCTGCTTATTGGCAACTGTAATTTCATCTGCAACTTTTAATTCCCTTTTGCCATATAAGGCAATGTATTCATAGGTCCTGGCTATTAGGAGGTGGACATCTGGGAAAAAGGCAGGGGCATAATTCTGTCTACCATAACTTCCTCTCCTTGTGGTCCTGATGGCAGTGGTGGGCTGTCTGGAGCAGCTGCTGCCATCATGCCAGCTGCAGCAGAAAGGCACAGCCAAGGCTACATGCTCCATGGGGCCAGTGGGAGCCAGGGACAAGCAGGAGCCCTGCCCCTTCCAAACTGGGGCTGGAGCTCCCTGGGTGCCACTGCAGCCATCCAAGCCATGGCTGCAGACCTGGGTATCCCTGTGCTCTTGGGGCCAGGGAGCAGGTAGGAGCCCCACCCTCCTGGGTTCAGCTGCAGCTGCCAAAGTTGCAGCTGCAGACCCAGGCCTCCCTGTGCTCTTGGCAGGGCTGGGAGCAGACAGGACCTCCCCCTACCCAACACCCAGGCACAGCTGCAGCTACCCAAACCACGGCTGTGGACCCAGGCCTCCCTGCACTCTTGGAGGCCCAAGAAGGTCCCCCCTGCCCTTGCAGGCTTGGAAGTGCCTGTTCCCACTGCCTGCCTTCTCTCTGCTGTTGGCACCTGCTCCCATTTAGGAGAAAAGTTGGGGTTGAGCCCGGTTACTGTCACAGCCTGGCTAGGTGTGCACACGGTTGGGGCAGTGATGACACACCAGCCCCTGTCTGCCTCGGCCCCCTTTGGACTTTGGGCACCGATGATCATAGGAGGGAAGCTGATGGGGGGCTGAGGGAAGCTCAGCACTAGCCTGCAGGTGCCCCTGGGCACCTACAGCCTGGGCACCATGAAAAGCAGCAGAAGGTAGACAGGTTCCTGGGCAGAAGGGGGCAAGGCCCAGTGAGGCTCCACCTTCAGGCCAGGGTGGGCCTAAAGGCTGGGTGCCAGGCTGCCAGTCCCATGGACAGGACTGGGAACTTGTGGTGCCTTTTCCGGGCCCACTCATGGCGGCCCATGGACCAATTGGTGCGTACTTCCTCCCCACTGAGTCCCATAAAAGCCCTGGGCTCAGTCAGAGCTGAGCAGATGTCAGGACAACCAGCTGCAGAGAGGAGCAACCCACTCCAGGGCCTCCTCTCTGCTGAGAACTGGGGGCACAATGAGAGGACCTGCCTGCAGAGAGGAGCTACCCACTCCAGGGTCTCCTCTCTGCTAGGAGCTGGACACTTATCGGGACACCCTGGCTGTGGAAAGAAGCTACCCACTGCGAGTTTCCTCTGAGCTATTCTGTTGCTCAATAAACTCCTTGTCATCTTGCTCACCCTCCACTTGTCTGCATACCTCATTCTTCCTGGTCACAGGACAAGAACTCAGGACCCGTCGAATGGCAGGGGTAAAAAAGCCATAACACAAATAGACCTGAAACATTCCCTTTGCTTGCCACATTGCGGACACAGAGAAGGAGAGAAGAGCTGCAGCCCTTTGGGGACCCCAGACCTGGGAGCTCCTCAAGCCAGGGCTGTGACTCCCTGTTTGGGTGCCTGTAGTTCCTGGCACCTCCAGGCTTCAGGGTCCTACCTCATTCCCTGGTGCCAGCCACGGAAGCTGCTTGCAGTGCTCCTGGTCCAGCTGCAGCCTCTCAGAGAGCTGGCACCCATGATGGCACCTGGAGCAACCCACCTGCTGCAGCAGCCGGCCTGTCTGACTGTGCAGTGGCCAGACCCCATGCTTGTTCACACACCCCTCGTCACTCCATTCCTGACTCACTCTTGGCAGGTGTAAGATATAGGCCAGGAGCATGAGCTGAGCATAGCTTGCCAGGCTGAGCGGGCAGAACCAGCCTGGTGGGCCCAAGCAAAACTTGAGCAAAGACACCACTGGCCACAGAGGTTTTCAGCCAAAATTTACACCCCAAGGATCCTGTAACAGTTCCACTTCTCTACTCCCTCTACTGGTTTTTTTTTTTTTTTTCTGGAAACATTTTCTAATAAACCACTTTTACAATCATCTTTTCCTCAGGGTCTGGTTTTAGAGAATTCAGCCTAAGACAAAGATGAATACACTGAATTCAAAAATTGTTTTGGTTAGTGAATTGGGAATGGCAAGTGGGGTGCTTAGGCCAGCACTTCGAGTACAGGCAGATCACAACTACTACTGTGCCTGTGTACCTCCTTGCTGGACTCATTGGCCTCTGGCAGCTACACAGGAAGAATAGGAGAGACCTTGCTAATGAGATTCTTTCCACTCACCTGAAATCCTCTGCACCTCAGCAGCGTGGCACCCTCAGCAGCCTTGCCTACCAGCGTGTCTCTGTGCACAGCATTTATAAATACAAGCATGTGATTCTGAGCAACTGTCAAAGGCGGCTGCTCATTAGTTAGCACAGATTCCAGCCAAGACTGGCCCAGCCCTGATGCTATGTGGCGAGGCATAGAAAATGAACATGCTACCCAGTTCAGGGTCAATATGCAAAACAGGAAAGGGAAAAAATGGAAGCTTGACAGCCTGTCACAATGATTATTAGCTGTCTCCCAGAGTCCTGAGGGCTCCCATCACCATGCACACATTTGGCCAGTCAGAGTTCCATAACAACTCTTTCTCTCACACTTCCCTTGCGGTGTGCATCACTTGGATCTGTTTCATCATGCACCAAATTCCTTGTTCTCTAGGTACACAGATGCTCCAGTTATACCCACTGCAGCGGGGTCCCTCGTGATGCAGGTACATATATTTAAACCTAGGACATTTTCTGATGTGTTAGCCAGGTGGAACGTAGTCTCTGCCAGATGATAAAACAGGGAGGGAGTTCAAACAGAGCATGCCCCGCTGAGCAGAGTTTACATCTGGTACTTGAAAATACCACTTCAGAAATCATTAGTTGGAAGGCCGTGACTGAAGGAGGTCTCTTTGTTAATGGTTGTAATATATAACTCACACTTACTTTTCCTTTGCCTTCATTCCCTTTCTTTCACCAAACCTGAAGGTCCAATTTATACTTCCACTTCTCTTTACAACATAATCGGTACTCCCTGAAACGTACACCTACATTGCAGACTCCACATGACAGCTACGTTCATAATGCCACCCATGAAAAGGCTTTTATGATCTGATTTTTATACTTCTCAACATTTTTTACCACTACTTTCAAAATATACATTCTTAATATCCCAATAAAGGGGAGCAGATTAAAAAGAGAAAAACCGTAAAATAATTCAGTGAAGACCTAATAAAAGATGCAATCAATCAAGTGAATGACAGTAGCAGTTTCTTTTAACATCAAGTCTAATGGTTTCTTTTTCTAGTACAAAAGTGCTCCATTAACAGTGTGAGTCTTTTATTTAGGTAATTCACACGAGTGGTTGCCAGATGTAGTTTATTTTCAGGAGGGCACACTTATAGAAGCAGCACACTGAGCTGGAGACAGAGTTATCGCCATCTAACGTACTCTCTAATGACCTTTCAGAGTGAAAATAGCAGTGAAATCCTAAAACCAAAACCCTCAAAATCGGATCCAAGGAGCACTTCACATTTACAATGATGGTTGGAGTCAGGGCCGGTCCATGGAGGACTGTGGAGTGCCTCTGCCCCACTATCGCTCCTCAATGCAGGGCCTTGCTTTGCCAGGGCCTCCCCTGCACTGCTGCAACTGCCTGCTCTATTGACCAGGCCTGCCTGAGACTTCATATCTGTGCTGACTCCCTTGCTTCAATCAAATCTCACCTGTTTTGAGCCCTTTTTCCCTCAAATGCTTCTTTTCTACTAGGCACTTCAATCAATTCATTTTCACTAAGGTATTCACTGTGTAAAATGATTGATACATTTCTACTCTGAGGACCCATTAAGTAATGGACACTTTCTGAAGATGATGTCTTTGACCCACTGAAATGGCTACAATGATGTCAAGTAGAGAGGAAAGTAAATGGGCTTGTTCTCAAAGATGCTTGGATTGAAATCTGGACTTGTCATGCATTAGCTAGTGCCTTTGGATACACTCTTTCCTAAGACACTATCTTGATGTCCTATCTTGATGAAAGTGTCGGTGAGGCACCTAAATTATATTCCTTCATTCAAAAGTATATATGGAATATCTAATATTTTGAATGACTAAATGAGAAGAGGTAGATTAAAATACCGAATGCAATGTCTGCCTAAAAGTAATTTTCCTAAAAAATTATTAAAAAGATAGTAAAAATTTTTAGGAAGATAATTTTGAGTATGTATAACTTTTGTTCTCTTTCAATTCATAATGTGTTTATATTTATATCATCATCTAGGTGCTTACTCTATTGACTAAGGTAGGGCTGTCTTTGGGGGACATGTAACCAAAGTGCTTCAGAAGATTTGGAGAACGTGGAGATCCAATTCTAGTGAAACGCGATAGACAGTCCTGTTCCAGGCAAAGTCCATCCAGTGTTGAGAAGATAGGCAAATAGATGTCTTAAATTAAAGATAATTTCTTGTGACTGGATAAATAAATGGCTTCTTAGGTTAATAGTCTAGAGGATACAAAGATTTAGGGGCAGAAACTCTGTCCTAAGAGTAAGGTATCTAGGGTTTAGGATTTGGGTATACTATTTAATAGTTACATGCCTTGTGCTATAGGCATTTAAACTTTTCATGCCTTAGTTTCTTTTCTTTTATAAGGTGTTTGAATGTAGCACATTTTCTCTAGGATTGTTTCCAGGTTAAGAATTCTTGCAAACTGTGCTCTCGTAACATCTCATTGCAGGAGCTGCCATTGTAGAGGCTTTATTTGGGTCAAGGCTTGATAAAATCCTTGTGAGCACTTCAGCTTCCTTCCACGTTTTTTTAGTTAACTTTTCTCCCTTTTCCTCTTCTCTCACCTTCTGTCACTCTATTAAATCTCTCATTGGACAGGTCAGGCTGTGAATAGAATTTACTTAATAAAGGGCTTGCTAGAGAAGGACATCCCTTAAGAATTCAATAAACTATTTTATTAATATAATGACAAAGAGAAGAATAATTCAGACAAATAAATAGGATGCTTATTGAGAATGAGTAAAGAAAGGCTTCTAAAACAATGAGCAATTCTTGGGTAAGGACAAAATGTCACTGTGCTGAAGGTAAGCAGAAGGAAGAAAAGCAGATCAAAGCTATGTGGCTTGTTCAATAGAGCATAGAAGAGTAAAGGCTAATGTTTACTGAGTTTTCACCTCATAGGTACTGGGTTAAATGCTTTAGTAAAGCCTTAACAAGAAGATACTTTTAATAACCTGACAAAGATAGGAAACTAAGGACCAGAGAAAATAATTTTACTACCCCAGATTACACCATTAGAAAGTGGCATAGTCAACATATGGATTCAAGCCACTTGGCTCCAAACCCAAGGCTATTTCTCACTACTATTTTCTATAGATTTTTCAGATCTGAAAATATGGGTTTGTGCAGAAATGAGGTGCAACCTCACATGGTGGTCCCTTGAATATGACAGATTCTGAGAAAATCAAAAAGAAGCTGAGTTAGATTAGAAAGAACATTTTTTTCTATTATTATGCATATCTTTTTTTTAAATGGGAGGTTGTTTTATTGGCTGTTTGGATAAGAGTAATGGGAACCATTTCACCTTAGCATTCATAATAAGGAACACCTTAGCATTCATAGGTTTTCTGAAGTTAGGCAGTTGGGGATAGCATGGAAAAATGTAAGGTGAAAAGCATTTTAGAGTGAAAAGAGAGAGAGAGAAAGAGAGAGAGAGTGTGTGTGTGTATACTTGTTGAAGCACTATTTGGATGACTCACTGAGAAGATAGGTTAATGCAGTCCCTGAATTTTTTAGTTCTTTAAAGAATAATCTACTCTCTTGCCTCATGCCAGACTAAAAGAGCTTCCCAAACAGACACATAAAAAATAAAATAAGGTATACCAAACTGTGTTGTCCTTGAATCTCTCTTCATACACTTGTTTAAAATAAATATACTTGAATAGAATAACCCACCTATCTGTGGCACCCAGTGGCTTAGAGCTATATATAATGCATATTAATAAACAAGGAGAATGTGGCTTCTGCCACACTCATTTTGTTTTCATCCTCCTGACGGTGTTCTTGCTGTCAGAGGTGTCTTCTCAGATAATAAAAGGCAATACAAGACATACACACTCATTCCTTCCTCCCCTCAATCCTCTGTCCTGTCATCTCTGAGCAACAGAACCTTCCATTAGTGTTCATTTTAATAAGCCAATTTCATTAGGTTTGTAAGTGACAACTTTTAAATGAGTGGGGATCCATGCCAGTTTTTCAAAGGGGGGCATCTACATGTTACTCTCTCACAATTAAGTTTTAATTAGCAAGGTCATTGCTAATTTTAAGAGAATGCAGCAGGACACTTTCTCCCTCCCTGCCTCCATATTTTGGTAATTTCTGGTTGATAATGGAATGATATCTTTTATCAGGATGCTTCTAGGTGATGTCAATAATGTCAACAAGGCGATAAGCCAGAGCTAATCCCTTCAGTACTTATACATAGATTTTCTCTTTCATTATAATTCTGCCTTGTGTGTATGTCCTGCTTTTGTGACTCAATGGATACAGATAAAGAAGGTTTTATAAAGCTATTTTTAATTCATTTTTGCTCACTCCAGTTAGAATAATTTAGAATTATTCAGAAAGAAAAAATAAAGCTTGATACTAAGTTTGGGAAAAAGTTGCAGGGGAAAAAACCCGAGATGGTTCTAATGGAGAAAGGCCATTTACAACTGGGGACTCGATAAGAGGGTAAGTCAAATCATGGCTGTTTGCTGGCGCATTGCTGCCCACCTAAGTTCTTTCTGTAGATTCAAGGGTGGTGGATGGGAGTGCTGCAGTTTGTTTCTGTCCTCTACAGTCTCTGTAGCATTTTGGCCTCCCAGCTGCTTCAGAAGCATCTGACCATCAATTTGATTGCACCACACATGCTATTGTTGGTGCACTCTGTAAATCTCTTTGTTTACAGCCCCCACATCATGTGTAGAAGGTGAAGTAGATGCTTAGACTGAGCTATGGAGATGGTGTCTATCGATTACAACCCTCTTTCAAAAGCTCAGGTACAACTACTTAGGGCAGGCCAGTTGCTGCTCTAACAAATAGAGTAAAACTCTAAAAAGTTCAAAACAAGTTTATTTTCCCTCAAATAACAGTTCAGGAAAGTGTTCTCAGTAGTATTCTTCTTTCAGAATCATCCCATAACACCAAGTTCAATGTATAATTCTGAGCTATGAAAGATAAATATATGTATATGTGTGTGTATATGTGTGTGTGGTTATATATATATATATATATAAATGTAATCCCTCTTCCAGTCTAATGCCATGTATACCTTCTTTTTTTAAAGTTTTGAGTTGTTCTTAATTGATGCATAATAATTGCACATATTTATGGGGTACAGTGTGATGTTTGATCCATGTATACATTATGTAATAATCAAAGTTTGGTCATTAGCATATCCATTACTATCGGGGGAACCTGCCCCCAGTATTTCAACATAGGTTCTTCCTATTTTCCATAAGGGTTGGCTGGCTGAGAAATAAACAGAAAGAATACAAAGAGAGGAATTTTACAGCTGGGCCTCCAGGGGTGACATCACATATCAGTAGGACCGTGATGCCCACCTGAGCCTTAAAGCCAGCAAGTTTTATTAAGGATTTCAAAAGGGGAGGGGGTGTACGAACAGGGAGTAGGTCACAAAGATCACATGCTTCAAAGGGCAAAAGGCAGAACAAAGATCACATGTTTTTGAGGAAACAGGACAAGAGCAAGATCAGAAGTACTGTTAAGGGTCTGTGTTCAGCTGTGCACGTATTTTCTTGATAAACATCTTAAACAAAAGAAAACAGGGTTCGAGAACAGAGAAGCGGTCTGACCACAAATTTACCAGGGTGGAGTTTCCCAATCCTAGTAAGCCTGAGGGAACTGCAGGAGAACAGGGTGTATTTCAGTCCTTATCTCAACCACATAAGACAGACACTCCCAGAGTGGCTGTTTATAGACCTCTCCCTAGGAATGCATTCCTTCCCCAGGGTATTAATTATTAATATTCCTTGCTAGGAAAAGAATTTAGCAATATCTTCCCTACTTGCATGTCTGTTTATAGGCTCTCTGCAAGAAGAAAAATATGGCTCTATTTTCCTGACCCTGCAGGCAGTCAGATCTTTTGGTTGTCTTCCCTTGTTCCCTGAAAATTGCTGTTATTCTGTTCTTTTTCAAGGTGCACTGATTTCATATTGTTCAAACACACGTTTTACAATCAATTTGTACAGTTAACATAATTGTCACAGTGGTCCTGAGGTGATGTACATTCTTAGTTTATGAAGATAACAGGATTAAGAGATTAAAATAAGGCATAAGAAATTATAAGAGTATTATTTGGGAAGTGACAAATGTCTATGAAATCTTCACAATTTATGTTCAGAGATTGAAGTAAAGACACGGGTAAGAAATTATAAAAGTATTATTTGGGAATTGATAAATGTCCACATTAAAATGAAATCTTCACAATGTATGTTCCTCTGCCGCGGCTCCAGCCTGTCCCTCCGTTTGGGGTCCCTGACTTCCTGCAACACATTACCTCAAACACTTGTCATTTCCTTAAGATAAGAGCATTTGAATTTTCTCTTTTAGCTATTTTGAAATATATAATGCATTTTTGTTAGCCATAGTCACCCTACTGTGGAATAGAACACCAGAGCTGATTCCTTCTGTCTAACTGCAGCTTGTACTTGCTGATTAACCTCCATAGAAGTAGAAAGTAGAATAGTTACCAGAGGCTGGGAGGAGAGGTTAGATATATCCTCTGTTTGTAAAATTCCCAAAACACTTTGATGTGAGATGTTTATAGGAGATTTGAAGTTAATTGCTGTGTTGTCTCTTTAAAAATATTGAAGCCTGGTTTGGGCTTGTAGCCCATTATTGTGATTATCTGTGTAACAACAGTTGAAGGAGGTGTAGTCTGATACTGAGTTCTCAGAAATGGGAACTAGAATTGGAAAAGACTTCATAGATCTAGTTCTAGGGGAACTGACAATGAATTGAATGTAACTAGAAAACATATTTGTGGCTGCAAATTAAAGGATCCTTCTCATATGAGACTGGGGTAAATTTTTGATTGGTCTTTAATTCCTACTTTCTTGCTTGAAGTTTAAACACTGTTACTAAGGTAATTTTTTTTAAGTGAAAAAGCATGTGTGTGTTGGGATTCAGCTGGATATGTGATGTTCACCTCAGTGTCACAACAATGCCAGCTGCCAAAGAGATTTTGTCAATGAAATTATTTTTTATCAAGGTCTCAATTTTCTGGGATCTGATGTGGCTCCTTCTGGCTGTGTAACGTAGAGGGAGTAGGAAGACGATTATACAGTCAGAAAAGAGAGCAGCATAGAATTTCAACTCAATACAAACAATTTGTACATTGATGTGTCATCAGGTTTTCACTGTAAACTCTCAACTTAAGCCCCACTAAAATCTGCCTTGTATTATTTGGACCTTCTTATGGTTAATTAATATGCTTTCCATACCTATATTGTTGAAATACCAAATGCATATTCATAAGTAATGCTAGCAACTTTTTGTCTTTCATAGCTGCCAATATTCTTTCGTATGTTAGGAGGCCACATCTTGTTATTCTTTAGGAAGGCTATAATTTTTCCAAAGAGGGGCTGAATGTTATTGCAGAACCTGACTTAAAACTTTGACAGGAAAAATGTGTGGAAAGCAGAAAGCAAAAACATTGCATCTCCTACCCTGGGCTTTCACACAGCTCCCACAGAGCTACTGAACTCTTCCTGAAACTGATCGATTTTATCTGTAAAATAGGTGAAAAATTTATCCCAGCAAGATAAACTCCGAAGTGTTCCTAAGTTAAAAAAGCAACAAAAAGATATAAGTAGAGCTTTCATTTGAAGTAACAGAAACACATGAGATAGAATCCAGTCACAAAACTGGAAATGTACTTACACTTCTAATGCGGGTTAAATGCCAATGTCAGAACTGTCGAGAAGGCAGTTAATATTGTCATCTATATAAAGAGTGTTTATGTTTACAAGGCAGTCTGGCAAGCCAAATCTTTTCCTCCTATATCCCTATTAATACTCAAGATCTCTGTAGTAGTGGGTCATTCAATTCAACAAATATTTATTGAACAACTATTATGAGAAAATTAGTATATAAGATTCCCCAGGATTTAGAAAACATAAGCAAGACATAAATCATAGTATCGAAGAATTATAAACTTGACAAGAATAAGACAGGTAAGCAAATAAGGTAACAGGGCAGAATATAATATGTCATTAGACTCTATACAATCATATACTTATGGACATTGAAAGGGATCAGTGAAAATATTTTGCACAGTTGAATTAAACATTAATTCATAAACATTAACTCATCAACAATTAACACAGCTAAATAAACATTAACTTTTAAACAAAGGCTATGTTTTATGTTCTTTATAACACTAAGTGCTCAACAGAGATATTATATTTTGTAAGTTTTTCAAATCGCTGAGGTTGTATTCATCGGATGTTCATTAGCAAGTTTTATACTATGAAATCATTGGAAAACCAAAGCATCTTATATAAACAGTGAAGAATGCCTTTGGTCATTTGTTTCTCACATTTAGTGGGTTCTTGATAAATTCTTTATGAAGATCAAAGTGAGGTAAATTTCAAGTGCAAAATATGGAGTCAAATTAGAATTCTTGATTGCTTTGAAATAGTGATATCCCCGGGACTGGGGATGTCTTGAAGAAGTGGCAAGAGTTGTGGGAAGGTATTTGTAGTCCAACATTAGTCAAATTGCAATTAATGCATAAAGACTCTAAAATAATCTTTGCTGGGCCCTCAGACCCAGCAAAGTATCTATGCTTGGGTTACTTTTATTTTTTCAATTGTTCTAGCATCTTCTCCCAATAAAAACTGTATTGTCAGTTTATGTAAAGTTTTACAAGAAATGCATATCTTGGAGGACATTGGGGATAGGTGGAGGCTCTCATATTTCAGCTTTAAGGCTACATGTTATTTGAGTGTGAGGACTGAATTTTCTATTATGCTAACATTCTCAACAGCATAATTCAATAAATATTTATGTGACTCAAAATATCAAAGGTAGCATCACTTCTTCTTGAAGTATCCAATCTGTGGAGGAATGACCACACTTTGCTCAAGGATTTTTTTTTTTTCTTTTTTTTTTTTGAGACGGAGTCTCGCTCTTGTTGCCCAGGCTGGAGTGCAGTGGCACAATCTTGGCTCACTGCAAGCCATTCTCCTGCCTCAGCCTCCCAAGTAGCTGGGATTACAGGCATGCACCACCATGCCCAGCTAATTTTTGTATTTTTAGTAGATATGGAGTTTTACCATGTTGCCCAGGCTGGTCTCAAACTCCTGACCTTAGGTGATCCACTTGCCTCGGCCTCCGAAAGTGCTGAGATTATGGGCATGAGCCACTGTACTTGGCCTGTTCAAGTTTTTTAATTTACCTTTTTATTTATTTTTATTTTATTTTATTTTTTTTTATAGCTCAAACAGCCAGCAGATGTTGTGCCTTTGAAGGAAGTACTGCACTGTGTGGGAAAGACTTTGAAATATAAGTCTACTTTCCTCACACATTATGTCCTACCAAGCTAGAGAGAAATGGAGACAGCACGCTAGTATAATATGGCCTTGAGTTCAAATTATAGAATTCAAACCTTAAAATATTAAAATATATGTGAGATTGAATCAGGCTGTGCTTACAGCTTGCTAATAAGTCATATTTTCCACTCACTGCTCTGATTTTAAGAACTAGCAATTGGAAACTAGAGGCATGAAAGAATAGGCTTGGAGTGAATTTTAAGGAATAATCTAGTTCATTTTTCTGCCATTGGCAGATTTTGCCTAAACTCTTCTGTAGTGGGGAGAATCTATCCTATTTGAAAATACCTGCTGGGAAGGAAATTCTAGCATTCCCTATAAAACCATTATGATCTGTAGAAATAACTTGTTTCCTTCAAAATAAATAGTTCTCTCAGCTATTTTGTTTCTAGTAATGCCCGTTGCAGGAATAATAAATTCCAGCACAAGTGCCACTTTTTTTAAAAAAGGTTTTAGTGGAATACATTAGATGGAGTGAAATATGTATTCAACAGTAAAGAAAAAAGTTTTTTCTTCCAGATCAAGGTTAATTCTAATAAGGAAATAGAAAGTCCATTACTGATGCCTTTGCATGAAAGCTCACTTCCTCTTGAGTGAACCTGAAGTATGTTCTTGCATATCAATGTTGTACCAAAGGCTTTCATTATCTCTGTGGTTTTGTTTATTTAAATATTTTCCCCACATGTTATTTCTTCATGTATAAACTAAATAGATGCAAATACATGTCTTTTTAAGAAGTCTGCAAATCTTTCTTTAATGAAGGTGCCCTTCAGTGCAACGGGCCTATTTGGGGATTGTTCAAAGCTGGATTTACTTTCATTAATTTCTTTTTTATTTTACTTTTGATCAGAGTTGGCAAAGTACAGATCAAATGGAAACCAAATGTCTCCTTTTTGATATTATTCAATACTCTTCATCTTCATGGGGCTCCCCATGACTGATTGTTCTCAACACATCAGGATTTAGGCCTACCTCAAGAAAGGGTTAGAAATATCCGATATTGTTGACTCCAGGAAAACTACCTGAGTTAGTTAAGCAGAGAAAAGAATTTGGTTAGTAGATTTTATAATTTAAGCCATTAACCAGATAAGCATGTGCCGTGACTGAATAGCAAAGAACTCACCCTTGTCAAAAAAATTGAGCTTTTTTTCTAGCTGTGAAATTAACTATCAATTCATATGCAATCTCAGATCAAAAATGGTGGTGCACCAGATGCACTGGTGCATGAGAATGGAAGTAATTGTTTGTGGTTTTCATGAGAAGATTGCCAGTTTGCAGCATTTAAATTATACACAAACTGCTTTTTACATCTCTAATTGTAGCTCTGTTGTTTTCAGGGAGGGTTGAATTGACATTGACAAACATAGACTTAGAAAAAATACAAAGACATGAAAACAGCACTAAATTTGCCCCAAAAATGATTCACTGAATAATGCCACAGTGTTCTATTTATTCCTTGATACGCCAAAATTTCCTTTTTTTTCCCCTAAGGAGTGATGCTGACTTGGGTAAGTTAATGAGAAATAGTAACTGCAGAGAGGTTGAGTAAATCAAGCACATGACTTTTGTGAATTATTGTATGCCTGCCTTTTTATTTATTTTTAAAGAAAGACTTAAATTTAATGTAATCTTTTGCCTGTTTCTTTTATCTCAAAATTTTTCATTTACTTTCAGTGCTTAATTGAACTGTACCAGCTTTTACCCATTCAAATCTTGCTATGATAACATTTTAGCTCTGGGAAATAGTAAAAACAGGATCTCCTTAATAATATTCTACTCATAACTTTTTGCCTCAGTTTTTGACTTCTCTGTAAAATAAAGCCACTAACCTCTCAGGCCTAAAGAATGAAAAGCTGGCGTATCAGAGAAAGAACACAATGGAACAAAGCAGTAATTCAGATTTTGAGTTTGTAAAGCCAATTGAGTATGTGGCATTAATTCCAGTATACAAATAACTGCAACAAAAAGATTGCCAGATCCACAATTCAGTATTGGTTTCTTTTGAAAAATAGTTTTGATTGTTAGAGGGTCATACTGAGTTTAAAATATAGTTATGTAGATAAACAATAGCTTAGCAACAGGGAATTCAAGGTACATATATTGGGGAAAGGAGCCATGTTAAAAGCAGAAAAATGATGAAAAAACTTTAAGAAAACTTCTACGTTTGGGCAATGTTACAAAGAAAACTGTCCACATTTTGCTTGGCACAGCATTTTAAAAGTTCACACAGTGAGAATAATTAGCAGAAGCCATTTATGGATATACTTCCAGAAGAGCTGGGTCTTATGCACATTTGCGGAGGGGTGTACTGGGGATATTACCTTTAATACTCTAAGGAAAGCAAGGATCTCTTTGTCCCATAATGTCCACATCCTCTGAAGGAGGGAGGAATACTGCACAGCAAGCTAACTTGATGCTTCTCTACTGTGTGTCACTGACTGGGTTCCTATTCTTTGTATCTGATTCAGTGTGGCCTGCAGGATGTAGACCATCTAGAAACTGACTTATTTGCTCAGTCTCATTCCTACCCTTCACATCTTTGTTGCTCTTACTTGACTATAGTCTTCAAAAATATTGAAAGAATGACATATGAAAAATGGAGTAGGCTTAGTTTGTGTAGGACCAAAGAGTGGAAATTGTAGAACAGTAAGTGTTAGCTCAATAAAAGTGAAACCTTTCTTATGGGTTTAACAATTTAAAACTGGAGTGGGCAGCTTGGGGAAGGACAAGCCCTCCAGTGATACAGGGGTATAAACAGGGAGAATGGTCAGCTAATGGTCAGGGAGGTTACACAGGAGATGGAGTGGGAGGACAGAAATGACCTGTATAGTTCCTTTCCTTTCCGATATGTACTTTGTTTTGGTTTATTTTAAAATTCATTCTCTGCTTTCGCGTCTTGGGCATTGGGCCTGTTACTATTCCTGGTGGTTTAAGCACTGTGGGGTGCTGCTGTGTTGTGAGGTGGTGGAGATGGCAGTGCATCAGCAACACAGATTTTTTTTCTATAAAGTACACCCTCTTCCTCATCACCATTCTCTCTTGTTCATGTGTGATACCAGCAGAGTGGCCACCAAAGATTTAGTAATGCATTTGAAGAAATTCACACTCATGTCCCTGGGTACCCAAATTTCCTTTTACTTTTTGGAAACATATCTATTTGCCTGCCAGTCCCACATATGGTAAAGAAACTATAAATTACAGCACTATAATTTCATTTATAAATGACTCCACTAAGCCATTATTATGACCTCTGTGGTTTACCTGAAAACTCATTCTCCCCATCGCCAACAGCAGGGCTTTTCAAGACAAGCTGTTTCTCAAACACAATGATAATTCGACTAACCTCTGACTGAAAGGCAGGAAACCTCAATTAATTTTCTAGGAGATTTTCCAGTAGCCTATGTCTTTTTTTATCGTTATTTGGTTTCTATTTTTATATGAAAAATTTGGACTGAATCACCTGAACTCTCTTGTCCTGGTCTCTTTGTGGCCATTGGCATGTGTGACAAGAGACGCTTTTGAAATATTAATATCTGTGCTTTCTTTTCTTCTATTTTCTTCTCAAAACCTTTCCTCTATTCAATCACAGATATCTATTTTGCCTCTGGGGAGATGTAGGATTGTATCATGGGACTGGAAATAGGAAGAAGTAATCAGTCAGTGTGTGTGTGTGTGTGTGTGTGTGTTTAAACGTCCCAAACAGATTTTGGGAATAAAAAGAGAAAGCCTGAGGGTAGCAGGGCAAAGAGTTTATATCACAGCAATAGATCTGGGAAAGTAAAATCATTCTAGCCTACCTCTACCCCTACTCTGGGATCTGGAAGGATGGCTAAGTGGGGGAAAGGAGGAGAGATGATTGATTATGCCCAAAGAAGAGGTTTGCAGTCAGAGAGGAGAGAATTTGGGGAGACTTTCTGGAGAGGAGCAGGTCTGCCTAGAAGATGGGCCAGTGCCACTGGTGGACATTGCACAGGGTATGGAGAAGCTAAGATGATGCCTGCACATCAGCTATGCTTGCCTGGCAATTATGTTCGTCCCAGGTGGTAGAGTCAGGTTAGTTATAAGTATTATGGTTTGTGAACACTCCATTAGAGGGGGTTTGATGGAAAAGAAGCTCCAGCACTGATACTTGATGAGACTGAAGTGTTGTGAAAACTATGTCCATATGTCCATTGCACATAGGTTTTTTGTTTTTGTTTTTGTTTTTTTTTTTGATGGAGTCTTGCACTGTCGCCTGGGCTGGAGTGCAATGGGGTGATCTCGGCTCACTGCAACCTCTGCCTCATGGGTTCAAGACATTCTCCTGCCTCAGCCTCCCAAGTAGCTGGGATTACAGGCACCCACCACCATGCTCGGCTAACTTTTTGTATTTTTAGTGGAGATGGGGTTTCACTATGTTGGCAAGGCTGGTCTCGAACTCCTGACCTCGTGATCCACCCGCCTTGGCCTGCCAAAGTGTTGGGATTACAGGCTTGAGCCACTGTGCCCGGCGCATTGCACGTAGGTTTATGGGATATTTAAGCAAGACTAGTTTTTAAATATTTGGCTAATGACTCTAAATATGGGAAAAAGATCACTGACTTTAGCCACATTAGCACCATATTTTTAATAAGGAAAGCTAATCAGCTAGAGACAGAACCATGGCATCTTTCCCACTGTCTCTGTCCCTACAAAAAAGTATCCTATTATATACAATTGTACTTTGCTATTCATGTGTAGTAACCACCCCACACTCAGAGTGACCGAATCCTATATGCTGGCAGTGCCTAGTATAAGTAAACAAGATAATACTTGATATTTATGAAAACAGATACTAACTCTTTCTGAGGAAACAGAAGTAAAACAAAATATAGATATTTTCATTGGAATGGTTTTATCCAGTGAACAAAGAAGTATGCCCATATTGACTCTATTAGTTACCTATTACTACATAAAAAATTATGGGAAACTTAGTGTCTTAAAACAGTAATTAATCATTTATTCTCTCTAACAGTTTCTGTGCGTCAGAAATTCAAAAAGTGTTTAGCAGGGATGGTTCGTCTTTGCTCCACAATATCTGGGGCCTTAGGTAGAAGACTAAAATGTTGGAGGTTAAACTGTATTGTATGCAGGATATTTGCTAAGACAGTAGATTTTAGGTGCTCTTACCATATACACACAAACAAGGTAACTATGTGAGATGATGGATATGTTAATTTGCTTGACCAGCAATCATTTCACTATGTATAAGTAGATCAAAACATTGTATTGTATACCTTAAATGTATACACTTTTGGGGGTTTGAATCATCCTAAGGTGCATTTACTGTCATGTCTGGTGATAGATACTGACTGTTGGTGGGGGCCGAATGGCAGCTGTTGGCTGGAACACCCACATGTGACTTTCCCATGAGGCCTGCGCTTCCTTACAATACGGCGTTTGGGTTACAAGGGCAAGTATCCGTAAATAGAGAGAGTGACAGAGAAATAAAGGCAGAAACCATTGACTTTTATGAACTAGGCTTCAAAGTCAAGCAGCATGACTTCTGCTGAACTCTGTTGGTTCAAGAAGTTAAAAAGATTCAATTTCAAGGGAAAGGAACATAGATCCCACCTCTGGATAGATAAATATTGTCACATTGTTAAGGCATGTGGAATGGAATACATATTGGTACAAGCTTCTGTGAAAGATGTTATCTGCTATAGTGGACTGGTATATTCAGAGTACAATAGGTCAACAGACCTATTGGTGAATTCTAGTAGTGCACAATTACCAAATAAAAAAAGACAACCAAAAACTAAAAACTATTCAATGGTTTATAATAAACCTCTTGGCAATTTTAGATAAAGGGACATTCTCCTGAAATAAAGAAAGAGACTTTCATCAAAATTGACTTTCAATTTCACGGATATGTAATTAATTTGTCTTGGAATGTAATAGAGATATTGTACATCTGTCATGATTTATATCTACCAATTTTATCTCAAGATGCTTTGTCATATTTTTCTACTTTTCCTATTTTTCTCATTTAAAATAATACTTTTTGATAACTAGGATGGGAGGATACTCTCAAACTTTTAAATAAAATTATTAGGCTAGAAAGCAAAATTCATATTTTATATATTTAATTTTAATGTCTATATGATGAATATATACATTATTAAACAGTAGTGTATTAAAATTATCTAAGTGGAAGAAAAGTACGTCTATCTTTCTCTTTTTCTTTCAGTATCAGTTATATTCCTTTAGGCTATGACTCCTCATAATGACTTAACCATTGTGCATATCTATTATCTCCCTAACAATTTGAGAAATGGGACTTCTGAGGCATGGTGGGTGAGGGCTCTGGCTCTCCTTCTCGGAGTCTCTTAGTTCTGCTTCCTCCCTGTGCTAGTTTAAGCTTAGGCCAGTTGCAGGCTGGCTGTGGCAGTTCTAGGTGTTACATTTACAGACAACAATGAGAAGTGCCAAGGGATGGTCTCTTCTGATGTTTCCTTCTTAGGAAAGGAAACTTCTTCCAGAAGATCTCCTCTTCCCATAACTCTGGCTAGAACTGGGTCATATGCACACCTCAAACAGCTACTGGCAAAATAAGACCATCTTGATGAATTTCTACCAAAGAAGATTTAACTCTGAGAGCTGGGATAGGGTCATGTTTCCTAAATCGGGAGTCTGTAAACTGTAGCCAGTGGGTCAAATTCAGCCCTCTGACTGTTTTGTAAAAAAGTTTTATTGGGGCATAGCTACACTTTTTCATTCACATGCTGACTATGCCCACTTTTGCACTAAATCTGCAGAGTTTAGTGCAGTTTAGTGTGCTGCCCTAAATGCCGCAGTTTTAGTTTAGTTTAGTTTAGTTGCAGCACAGACCGTGTCACCTCCAAAGGTGAAAATATTTACTATGTGGCTCTTTATAAAAACTGTTTGCTGACTCAACTCAAATAATGGGACAAAACTGGGCTCTGTCTCTCAAGGAAAAATGAGGAAACGTTGCACAGGCAACAGTGACTAAATTCCTACTTAATTTTCCAAAAAAATACCTTATGCCAATTTCCACAAACCTTATAGACAATATTATATTTACTTTGTGACATTTTATGCTGTTATTTATTTTGGTCATCCTGTTAGTTGTTAAGGTTATTATGTACTGTATATAATTTTACAGTTTTTCTATGCTCTGGATTTCAGGATAAAATTCACTGTCAGGTTAAGATTGTACCTTCTTCCTTTGCCTTATAAAGTAGCCGTGAAGCCCTACTGACCTTTAATTCTATCAGTAACCACATCATATTTTCTACTCAGTATTCTACTTGGCCAAAATTTACAGAATGAATTAACTAGAATAAAACTTTATGAAGGACCCATTCTATTTAAATATTAATGTGATTTTTATTTCTATCCACAGGTCAATTTCACTCTAAGCAGAGACCAATGCAGATGAATCCTAACTACTTCCTGAGAAAGCCTGGGGTGCAGGGGCCACTCAGAGTCACTGTTTGTGTGTGTAGGTGGAGGGGGATCAATTCAGGCATATGTTTCAATTCAGACATTTTAGAATAGAGAAGGGAAAACCTACTTTCTACTCAGGGACGAACTGGTTATAAGCAATCTGGAAAATCTACTTCCTAGGTACTATAGCCTTGAAGATATTGTTCTAAAAGTTTAATTGTGAGAAACATGATTAGTTGAGGGCTTCTGGAAGACATGCAGTCTAGCTATATATCCCCTAGAAAATAGGTATTTAAAATTCCATTCTTCACTCAAGCTTCATTATCTGAGAACTATATACTTCAGTCGTATTATTCTGATTCTTTTTAGAGTTGTTGTTATCAAAGACATCTTTGTTGTTATGCCCTCATTTCATACTGCGGAATGCTGTCAGAAATAGCCATGCACAAATCACTATTGCACAAATTGTAGGGATGTTGTTAAAGATAGTGTGGGTTCTGCCACTACAGGAACTGTATGAGTTTACCTCTTCTGAGTGTCTGGGTTGTTTTTATAACTTATGGTTGATGAAAATTTTTTCAAACACAATTACATATGGACTTCACATAAAGCATATCAGAACAACAGGGAAACTGGTAAAAACCAGGGTGGCAGCTGGAGGCACCCACTCCACCTCTCCGTAGCACCCTGAGACAGTTTTAAAGGGAAATCTCAGGCTCTGCTGAGCTAGATTAGAATCTACCTATGAACTCATTGCATTTCCAATTGGATTTACCCACCAAAAAGCCCAAACACAAACTTGCAGTCCAGCTTTAAATTGTCTAACTTACTTTGCTTGGCCTAATGATTCAGACCTCACTTTACCTTTCGTTGAATTCTGTATCTTTAATAGCAACCATAAAATCTTGTTGTTTAAGAAGAAATATTTTTATAAAATGCTACAAACCTTTTTTGTTTTAAAGGATAAGGTATAATTTGATAATTACAAATACTTCTAGGATTGTGACCAAGAATTTCATCAGGGATTGGTAATAAGCTCATTGTGTAATTGTTTTATGCAGCACAGTAAGCTCTCTGTCAGATTCTTCCTGTAATATTCAAAACTACAGGTAAACACAGATTAGCACCTATATTTTAAATGTGTTTGCTGCCTCCCTGTCATTTGAAAGCACAGCTGATTAAAGTGAGAATTGTAGGTGGAGGCTTCACCTTATGAAAGTTGGTCTTATTTGTTGCATGGAATCTTCTTTTCTCTTGAGATTCAGAAATTATGTTCAATCTAGCTTCCTTCATTCTCATGAAACTAGCTGAAATTCTAGCTGGTAACATGCTCCATTTTTTCGTCTGTTAGCTTTTATCACAGCAGAGTGACAGATCTTTCAAGGGGCTTTCTTGCAACCTCCTTGGGATTTTGCTCCTGCTCTTATAAAGACTCTTGACTTTAGTAAAAGCATTCAGAGCCTGTACCATGCAAACCACCAGTTACACAGTCTTTGACACTCTTCTATGTGGCATTTCTATAATGCTTACATCTGTAAAAACCCATGTCTCTTCGGAATAAGTTGAAAATATTTTAAAATACTTTTTTTTTAAGAAAAGTGATATGCAGATATCTTAGCAAATCCATCTGTCTCTGGTATAGGCAGTGGGACAGGTTCAAATAAAGGGTCCCTGAGTGATAGTTGGAGTAAAAATAAAATGTTTGTGAGGGCAGGTACTACCTCACCTCTTTTCCTCCTATCAGACACCCTATTTTACCTGTGCAACCCTGTATTCCATTGTGGGTCCAGAAAGAGTTTCCATGTTCTGGTAGCATTACCTCCCCTTCTTCTTTTAGTTCAGCAGCTTAAACATTTCTAGGGGTGTAAATGAAATAACACAATTAGGTTCTTCATTCTTTGACTCCATATTCTCTTTAATTGGACAGCTGTATTCGAAGAGTGGCAGTTAATAGACAGATTGAACCTAGGCAGATAGATAATATGAAGGATAATAGAATCCTGATCACTTTCATTTCAACACATTCCCAGAATAGCTACACTATCTGAATAAAAAATAGTGGTGGGATTAGCTGCTTTAGTGAGGGCAGTGATAAACCAAAAGTGTCTAAAGGACAAGGTTCAGGATAGGGAAAATACTAGAGAAAAATACTATATGAAAAAAAGGTGAAAGAACTAAGCATTTTTTCCCAGAGCAGAGAAAAAGAGTATGTGTGTGTGTGTGTTTGTGTGTGTGTGTGTGTGTGTGTGTGTGTTTATGGATGTGCAGGGATGATGGAGAGATTTTTAAGGGCTATCATATATCATATGTAAGAAGTAGAAAAGATATCATTAGATGCAAACTCTGTGGCTTAAGAGGCTGCAATATATAAAAGAAATTTTATTTGCAATTAGTTGATAGCAAATAGAAAGTTCCAACTGGGAAAAACATCATTGTCTTTCACTAAATTTATGGTCACTGATGGTTTTCCAATAATTGTTAGGACCTTCCTAGAGGTGCTATGAAAGGCATCCTGCATACCGGTTGGTTTACTCAGAGTAAAAGTCTCTCCAACTCGGAACTATCATAATTCTCCAATTTTAGTACAGTCTGGCATTTTTGTTCCTGCTTTCACCTGGCTTCAGTTACGTAGGTTCCAAAACAGTCATGACTGTGATATTCTTCCTAGTGTGCTCTTAGATATTGCTATTGAATTATGACTATTTGACTTCTTGGTGATCTGAGGTGATTCAGACAGCTGGAAATTTCTTTTTCTTTTAGCACAGAAAAGCTAAGCATGGCTAACTGTGGCACCTCTTTCAAGATGGTGGTTCACAGTGTTCTTCCTGTGCCTAGTTCTTGCATTAGTCAATTTCTTCTCACCATGGATGTTATAGCAGCTTCGTTGGTTCTGTAGGGAATAAACTGTTTCCCTAAACATCAAAGTTACTTCTGAAATAATTCAGGGGGTATAGAGAATATAATCTAATAAATTCTAAATATGAATATTATTATCAATTGCTTATAAAGGTTGAAAATTGTCTACTTTCTTATCAAACCACACACTATTGCCCCTTTGTTTCTTAGAGAATATATGTTCAAAGGCACAATGCAGGCAAATGAATATTCTTTATTATTTAGGACCTGTGACCCCCTGTCAGGGTCCAAAATGGCCCACTAAAATTAGGGCAACTCAAAGAAGGTTTGATAAAGATACTACTTGCAAAGGTGTGGGAAGGGAGTAGAGAAAGTACATGGGATAGTGTAACACTCAGGCACTAACGCAGTGGTCCTCTTACCATCTTCAGGCCTGAAGGGAGGAGGGAGGAGACAATTACTAGCACCTGGAAGGAGGAGGCCGTGTAAGTAGCTGTGTTAAAAGGAGTTTAACCTTAGGTTGAAGTTAGTTTAGAGCCAATCTGAGGCAACCTGGCAGGGAACCGGGAGAACAAATACCCAGACTCCATGATCTGGTCCGATCTTTCTCTCCTCTCTCCTGCCAGGACTCTTCATTTTATACATGATAGCCTTGAAGTAACAAGTAGAGTTTGCATCTGATGATAGCTCTCTACTTCCTCTGCATGATAGCCCTCATAGTCTCCGTTTCATGTAGTGCATATGCTCGGGCAGGCTCCTGGAGCAGGGGAGACCCTGGAGAAGGGTGGAGGGTGGATCTGAATGGGCAAATGGTAGATTGCTGGCACCCAGCACCCATGCCCTGGCAGCACGGGGGATCTTGGTCAGACCTTGATTCCACCTTTTGTTCTTCTCCCTGAATGCCTAGAGCAGATAGTTTTGGACCCCTTTCTCTTTAGGCCTTCACTTTCAATGCCATCTGAGATAGTACCACATGAGTAATATGAAGAGCAAGAACAGGGAGGAAGAAAATAACTGTCCCTTACCCTTCTCTCACCAAGGGTCCATTCTCCAGCATAGGGGCCCTGAGCAACACGTTTTATTTCCTTTCTACCTATGGTGTCACAGAGTTTCACTTTTCATAGGGATAAGCTAAAAGGCTTTCACTGAGTTTTTCCCTTGAGTTGGGAATGAAGAATGTCAGGGGGCAGAACCCATAGTCATCCTGAAAATTTTAGGGAAACGTCCTATCCTAAAATTTTGCTTAGAAAAATAGCCTTCAAAACAGTGCTAGTTCAGGTACACCTACTTCTACTGATTCTAACATTACAGATGTGGAAGGTTAGCCCATCAGGACTTTTCTTCCTCTTGTGTTCTCATTAGAGAATAAACATTTTAGAGAGGTGTTGGCTAACATTACTCCCTCCGTATGATATCACAGACTGTGTTTGACATTTGCTTCTTTCTCACATATTGCTGAGTGAGAAATCAGAATATGCAATTCAGCAAATCCAGGGCAAGAATTTGGTCTGCAATGTCACCTAAAATGCTATGCTGAAAGCCATATCAAGATTTTAAAATAGATGCCTTTAGCACTTTGTTTTTGGTAAATCTGAGAGAAACCATGAGTGATTGCAAAACTTGATGGTAGTTGTTTAATAAACAAAAATAAAGGTGGTAGGCTGGGAAAAAATATGGGATAAAAGCACAGAACAGGCGATGTGGAGTGTGTAAACGCTGCTGTTTCTTCATTTTCTGTTAGCCTTACTCAATACAACCAGAAAAGTAATGTTCTAAAGATGGTACTGACACTCTCTTGGTCTTAGCGGAGTTAAATGAGATAATAATCATTTGTGTGCATTAATGTGTAGACTATTGGCACAAAATGGGAAGTTAAGAGATTTTGTGTGTTGCAACGTGAGACAGAAAACGTAATTTTGCTGATTGTATATTTTTAAAAAGACTTAACTAGGCTTTCTGGAAAATTATTTTGCTACTTGTTAACCTAGACCTGGGTTTGGCAAACTTTTTATGTAAAGGGCCAGATTATACAGGTTAAATACTGTGAGCTTTGTAGGCTAATGATCTGCCACAGCTACTCCTCTGTCATCATTGTCCAAAAGTTGCCATCTATAGTACATAAATGAATGAGAATAGCTGTGTTCCATTTAAACTTCATTTATATAAACAGGCATGAGCTTGACTTAGCCTGCAGGCTGTCATTTGTGAAAACTGACCTAAATCTAAACAATTGTTTGTCTATGGTTTCTAAAATTTTATATATTAACATTATGAAAAAATGGGGCAATACAAAGAAACTGAAACTCTCTTCACTCAGTTTTGGAGATACTCAATTAATTGGGTATTTTAAAAGTCCAAAATCCCACTGTTGCATTTTAAACCCTTAAGTACAACATGGTCTTAGATATTTTGTTATTATAAATTGGAGTTATGAGGCACTTAACAAGAATTTAGGATGTTAGGACATTGTCACATCCCTACCAGTGACCACCAGGAAAGAATGACACCTAGATAGGTACTGTAAAATTTGATAGATATCCTGGAACATCTGATGTTTTCATGATTTCAGAGCCAAATATTATCTCAGCAAATAATCCATTAATGTGATACAGGCATAGCACACGGAAGCATGCATTTCTTCTTACTTGAAATGGATTCACCAAAGTACCAAGAAGCTGTATAAATATGAGTAGAGAAAATTTCTCTCTAATTTGAGAAGAATGTATTTAATCAGCCATAAGTTGGAAACAAACTGTGATTTTTTTCCAGTTACTCTTTTCTTTTTCTTTCTTTCTTTTCCTTTTTTTTTCTTTTGCCTATGTCAATGCCCTTCAGCTAACGACCACCAGGAAAACATTTATATTTGAACAACTTTTGTGTACTAATTGCAGTGAGAGAGAATACACATCGTGGGGACTGACCGAGATGACCTCAAAGTTCCCCTTAGTTTGTCTAAACTTTAGACAGATTTCTTCCTGACTGTGGGTCCCTGACCTCCCTGTCTCAGAGCATCTACTTCAGAAAACTTGCAATTATAAGTGCTTTCTCTATCCCTTCAAGAAGTCAATCTTCTCTCAGCCTCTTGCCAGTTTTACAACCCATAAATGTCTTTTTCAAGGACTTGGAAGACATCCCTTTGAAATGTAATCATCAAGAAAGAGAGAATACCTTATTTCCTATTCTCTGTGGGAATCAGAAGCTTACATGTAATAAGTGCCAACTAGCAAACAGAGATGGCCTAGTCACAGTGACCCACCTCCCTCCCATGTCCTCCAGTGCTTTTCCACTAGCTCGCCCTGGTGCTTAACATCTCTTCTGCCTTTTGTGTCAGCAGACTGAGTTCAGTCCCTCTCTCTTTTGCAGTAGTCTTGAATAAAATCTTCCTTGCCTGTTTAATTCCATCTGGTGCAACTTTTCTTTGACAGAAACTATGGGTCATTTCAGTAAGGGGGAGTTAGGACTTCCAAGATTTGAGTTATGGTTGGGTAAATTTGGAGAGGATCTAAGGAAGTGGGAACTTACTCTGTCAGAAAGCAAAGAAATTCTATGAATGAGTGTCAGTGAATCTTATTTATAGAGAAGGCAGACTAGAGAGGACAACAGTGTAATTGGTCAAGAAGTAGTAGCAGTCACTCATTTAATGAGAGAGGGGACATTTTGTGTTTTGTGGGTTGTGCAGTTAACTTGTTTTGGTCTCAATTTATTATGGTCTCACAACAACCTTGTTTAATGTTGATGTTCTGTGAAACAATGTATGTCCAACAGAGGAACAAAATGGCCTGACTGTGAGCATCAGACCAGCTTGTAATAACATCGAGACCTAGCTGCCGGGTCAGATCAGCTTCCAAATGTCAGGGGCGGCTGTTTTTCCTTCTTACTTTCTCACACCAAAAAGGAAACACTGCTGCCGCACTTACAAAGCTTTTTAAGGCATAAGACAAAATAATGGTTTGGGAATTTATGTTTTTAGAAGATCAGAAATGTCTATTCTGACATATATACACAAACACGTACACTTTCTCTCTCTCTTATAATGATCATGAAAATTGCGTCTGACTTACTATGATCTTGATGAACTAGGAAGAAACCTTACCTTAGGTAATGGTGTGAATAAAATGCTATCAATAAATTACAGAGTCAGGGGTATTTTGTCTATGCTCACCTCGCATATTCAGGATCAGTCTGTGTTCTTTGAAGTTGATAACTGGCAAGTTTAAGACTTATTTTGTCTTGGAAAGAAGGTCCTATTTATTCCAGGGGCTCATTGGTTTTGCTGAGTTGGATAATTGTTCATATCAATAGGGTCTATGCTGGAGATGAGATGAGGCTCTCCCTGGTTGAATGATATTCTAGAACCAAGACTATCAGCTGGCTGTACTGCACCTGCAAGGCCTGTTCTTGCATCCCTGAAGTGAGAATACATTTGGCTGAATTCTGCAGGCTCATTTTGATCTTAGTGAAATATCAGTCCACTGGATCTTCAGTTCATTTGTGTAAAAGACACTGTGCATTCATTTATTCATTCACTTATCCTTCCAGAAATCACTGAACACCTCCTATATGACAGATGCTGCCCTAGATACTGGATAAACATTAGTTAATAAACCAGAATTTTATGGATTGTAGCATTTACAGAGAGACAGACAATAAGTAGACAAATAAATAAAAATACATCAAGTGTTGTGAATAAGAACAATGGTTATATTAAAAGTAACTGCAGGAAAATAAGCATAAAGATTCAGCTGTCTCTGAAGAGCTGAATTTAAGCTGAGACTTTAAAGTTGAGAAAGAATCCGTCATGCAAATATTGATGTGAAGAACGAATTCCTTTCACTCTCCTTCATAGTTGATCCATCAGCATAGATTTAATTAATAGCCTGATGCCATTGTTTTGTTTTATTTATACAACATTTACTTGCTTGGCTGGGTCTCAACCCTCATTAAATTGTGTTCTTTTACATTACATTTACACTTAACATTTTTATTAACATAGTTACCGTTACAGCTTGACCCATAATGTCTCACAAATAGATGTTGCCGTTAAGTTGTGTAGGCAGGATGCTTTATCTTACTTTTGAGAATCTGTTAGTTTTCCATGGTGTTAAGGACAGTTTTCTTTTCGTAAGAGTTTCTGACAGTGAGAAGTATCAGCTTGTATTTGTAGTTTTGATATATAGGTTAAGATCCAACAGCTTATCAGTTTTATATAGATCAATACAGTTAGGAAAAGCATGAAGCCATGGTTCCTGGTCAGTTTAAATCTTTTTGTCATTTCCAATGGCCTGCTGACAAGTTTCAGAGCTGTCTATTGAAAGAACAGAGACACAGAAAGAGATAAAGAGAGAGAGAGAGAAACTTTCCGTCCCTTCCTCATTACCTCTTCTGAGCTTTTTTGTGTTGCAGTCCCTATAAGTGACATGACCATCTTTCAGTTCCCTCTGATTCTAAATCTTGATCAGACAGGCTTCTCCCTCTCCTTCTCCTTGCACATTCAAGTAGTCACAGAATCTTTTCACTAAGTCTGATTTTGCTCTTATCTTTTTACCTGGATGTTTTCTATCTTGAGTCCCTATTGTTCTAGATCTGTGCTGCCCACTAAGACAGTCATTAGCCACATATGGCTATTTAAATTTAAATTCAGTGAAATTATACATTCAGGTCCTTGGTTGTACTAGCTACATTTCAAGTTCTTAAAAGCAACATGTGGCTTGTGGTTACTGTATTGGACAGAACAGATACAGAACATTTCTGTTATTTCAGAAAGTTCTCCTGGGCAGTGCTGGCCCATATTGTTATAACAGCCTCTCTGCGCCCCAGACTGTGTGGGTTCTCAAGTAAAGCCAACCCCACCTTATCCTACCCCTTTCTTTCTGCCAAAATTAATCTATTCAAAGGGCTAATCTAGATATTTTGCTCCATTGATTAAAAATCATCAATGAGTTTCTCCTTAACTTTCTAATTAAATCCAAACTCCTGGCCCTGATATTCATCATGCTCTAAGATCTAATCTCATTTTCCACTCATACAATTAGCAAATATTTTTAAAAGTGGTGATACTCAGTTCTGGCAAAGGAAACAGTGAGGCTGTTTCTCTTGCATATTGATGGTAAATTGGCATGTTTCTAGAAATAAATATGGCAAATGCAGCAAGACACTTAAAGTGAATATACCATTTACTTCACTAATTTCATTTCTGACAATCTCATCTTTAAAAACTAGCTAAAGATATAATCAAAGTTATATACCAAAGGGCATTCATCTCAGCTTACTATTTGGGAAAAATTGGAAATACTCTAAATGCTCAAACAAAAGGGAAATGCTTAAATCAATTAGGCTACATCTACACTAATGATTCTCAACATGGTAATCTTGATGCCACAAAAATACTTATAGCTTCATTTCCTGCCACTTCATTTGTTCTTCCATTGCTTCTAAACTCCAGGCACATCAAATACATAATACTGAACCTTCATTTTTTGTATAAACTCTATTGTCTGCTTGAATTTTTTTTTTTAAATTTTGGACCACCTAATGTTTACTGATGCTTTAAAACCTGCTCAGATTTTATCCCCTTCATGAATTCTTAGACTTCCTCCACCAGAGTTGATAGTTCCTTTACACTCACATGGCACTTGTGTAGCATATATTATGTTTTATTTGCAATTTATAGCTCATGTATTTATGTCTCCCACTCATGAAATATAAAATCTCAGAGGCTAGAATAGTTTCTTTTTTTTAATCATTGTGTCTATAGTATGAAGGACAGTATCTGGCCCATTTTAAATACTAAATAAAATATTCCTGAAGAAATAAATGTAGGAGAGAAATAAATGTAACCGTAATAATTAATGCCTGGAAGGTCCAGTGAATGCTGTCAGATCTTCTTTTTCTTTTTTTAAATAATAGAGTTGGGGAAAATCGATCTGAGAAAAGAGAAGATAACCATAGAAATGAACTGAAGGAATGTCAAAGGTTTAATTTTGTGTTATTGTTAATGTTAATCCTCTTCAGGCTGTGTAAACTTTGTTCAGTTAAGCAAATATTCCAGAAGACAAAGATTTTATATTTACTGGGAAATTCACAGTTGCAAGTGTCTGTGTGTTCCCAGTATCCTTAGGAACCTTAGCAAATAACTAACAGATTTGCATTTTCTTTCCACCTAAAGTGAAAGGTCTCTAGGTCCCTCACTGAACAATGACATTAAATAAATACTTAGAAAACAGGCACAGAGTTGGTAAAAGGGATTTGGGTTGATCTTTGATTTTGGAATAGATTACTCACAGATATTATAGCCCAGTAAAGAGAATAGAATTAAAATTACATTTATAATTATATTTGTACTCACTCCATATGCACTGTTAACATAGGCTTTAAAAATCATGACTTTTATATATCAGGCAGGTCAGGTAATTTTAAAACAAATATTCAGTTCGAAGTGAAGCAAACTCATGGAGTAGGGAAAAATGATCCTAATATGCCACAACTTTTAAAAAAATTACATTAAAAATGCATGCATAGTATTTCACCACCAAATCACCCAATTTTATAGCGTATATTTAGGGAGCAGAAACATTAAATTCATCAAACTCACCTAATTTTGGATGCCGCATAAATAAATAATGAAAGAAAGTCAATAAATCTGAATCTCTTCTTTATATTTATTTATACAAACTTATATTTTCAAGAATTTACATAATAATTTATATGGAGAAATGCCCTGTGGGGATGTCTGTCATCAATCCTTGTCAGAGCATTTTGACGTTAGCCAAATTTATAAATTTTGTTTTACATATAGTGAAGAAGGGGACAAGAAGATGGCAATTTCTTGAAAGTGGCAAATCAAGATTCTGAAAAGTTGAGTGGAAAAAATTCTTGATTTTCACTTGTAAAGTGGAGATTTGAATATCAGTGTTATTTGATGCCAGGCATATTATCACTGACAAATGTGTAGAAAAGGGAATAGATGTGGTCCATGGGCCCTGGGATGATGCGGATGTTTATTTGCCAATTTCTAATTTTTAATTTGTTCCTAATTATTTAGTTGTTTTAAGTATATGTTTTTGTAATTAAATGTAAGTATGTGGTTTTTTATTTATTTTATTTTTAAAAATATGTTACCCCGTCTTGAGGTCTCAGGGGCATTCAGTTTCTGTTCCCAAATAACTGGCAACTACTCACATGTACTGGCAGCGAAATCTGATGGATGAAGGAAAACTCTTGACTGGCTTCTTAAAAGCCTAGTGAAGAGGTAGTTCCAACCTTAAATACTGTGGGAGTAAGAATGTCACAGCAGGTCACAACAGAGATCTTGTCCCAATTACACAAGAAGAAGAAGAGCAGGAGGCCTTTGAGATTCCCTCCAACTGTAGCATGCAGGCCCAGTGGGTCGGTCTGCTAGAGAATACATCCACATGGCTGGAAAAAAACTGCTTCAGAGTCTTCCCTGAGCAAATGCAGTAATTGTACTCACTGGAACATGTTTTCTCCCAGAGGCATGGTGATTCTCTGAGGGAGACCACTGGGCTCTTTGGAGAATTCTTACAGCATTTCAAAATTTTTTAGTGGATTGTGTTGTATAGTCCTGGCCCACTTTAGAAAATAGTACAGTATATTTTTGCCTCTAAATACATTTGATTTTCATAACATTTTCTCAGCCTGGATCCTGGGACTAGGTGAAAATTTGCCTCAGCAAGAGTCTTCTATTTTCTTTTGTGCATTGCTTCTTTAGAAAGAGGCAAAATCATTTTGCTGACAAAGTAATTTCTAAAGCTTGTCTAAACTGCATTCACTGAAGCCAAACCAGTTTATTCTCTTTTCTAAAAATCCCCCCAAATTTTGTCTTAGTGTTAAACTATTTACTCCCTTTATAATCCTCATCTAGTCTGTATGGTTTATATGACCTGCATTATTGCCTGATGATCTTTTTGTTTACTTCCATTAAGAAACAAACTTCTTCTCTTTTGGTTCCTTTATCTGGTCCTTTAAACTTACACTAAATGTCTTTGTTATTTATATATCTAAAGTGCGTGATCTTCCAAGAAGTCTAGCTTCATTAGTTGAAGCAGATGAAGAGCCCTCATTCAATCAACTATGGCTCACCACCCTGATCAGTTCCTCAATATGACCCTACTTAGCTCCAGGAAACATTTTCACTCAGCCATGTTTCTTAGTTTCTTAGCCTTATTTATTTATTTATTTTTAATATGGGAAGAGAAAAACAGTAAGAAGTTTTCAGTTTTGAGTATAAGCTTAGTACCATACCTGTATTGGTGGAAGAGAGGGGCAGGGTAGTACCTTATTACAGGTTCCTATGCTGACAGGTCGAGCACATACTGGGAATTCAGGCAAATGATCCTTTAACTCAGTGTTAACTTGGGTGGGGGAAAAAGGGTCTATGTGAAAGTTCCAGAATGACCCTTCCATTCTTTAGAATTTTCCCCAGTTCCCTACAGTATAATAGTCTTTCAAATGCAGGCCTGAGATTCTTCATATATTCAGGGTGGGTTAGAAACATGCTGCCTCTTATGAACTTTTTTTTTTTTCTTCTTTCCTTATGGGATGTTTAGTTCTGTTAGTTTAGTTTAGTTCTTTTCTAGTCTTCTAGGGTACTGATTGTCCTTGGCTCTGCTGTTGCTCCTCTTTAGGTTCCTCTAAGGAGTTGGGGGAACCAGCTTGGACCACACGACAGAGTAACTGGAAGACAAACAAGACATTCACACTGCAATGTTGCCCGTTTCCCAGCAGATTCCCATATATGAATGAAGCAAGGGCTCTGTTTCTTTTTTGTCACTACTAATTGACAAGTTTTGTCAAACTCTGATTTTGGTGTACACTTTGCTTCAAAAAGGGAGATGGGAGGAAAAAGTAAACCATCTATTAACAACACCTTTTTTTGCTAAAGATATCCTTTCAGCTCTTGAATGTGGGATATGATCAGTTTCCTGTTAATGGGTAAAGAAGCCTGCTGAATTAATTGGGTTATCATGGATAAATGGAAGGAATATATGACACCATTTCTCTGCTCAAAACCCTCTGATTGCTTCCTGTCTAAAGATAATGAAATCCAGTCTTCACCGCAATCTATAAGACAAAATACAATCATATCCCTGACTTCTTCTCCAGTTCATTCCTAACCATACTTTCTTGAACACTCTTCTCTGGCTTTATTAGCCCAATTGCTGTTTCTTGAATACATCAAATATGATATTGTCACAGAGTCGTTGTGCTTGCTCTTCCTTCTGCTTGGGACACTTTTCTTCCAAATGTTTACTTCACATCTCTAGTCAACTGTTACCTTCAGTGAGAGGCAGCCCGACCACTCATTTAAGACAGCATGCCCAAACGGCTTTTATTTTTCCCATTGTCCTTATCATTATAAACCACTGGAACAGAGATTTTATTCTATTCACACTGCCACATTTCCTAACAACTAAAGAAATGCCTGGTTCATAGGAATCAGTCAAAAAATATTAATTAACTTTATTTTTATTAATGGGTCACTTTATTGGCTACTACTATGACCCATAAATGGGCTGCAGTTGCAGTTGTTATTGCTTCAGAGATGCTACCTTTTGTGTTGCAAGTAATGATGAAATGATGAATCGAATACCTACGGCAGGTATCAAGAGTAGATTTTACACAGGCCTGGGCCTTATGGCCCAAGATGGTAGAGACTATTGAGGCAAAAATACAACATAGGCTTAATTCATTCAGAAAACACAATCAAAATGGCATATTCAGTCAGTTATGACCCACAATTCATTGAAGTGAGTTTGCATTAATATTTCATCTTTAATAACAAAGTTATCTGAAACATGGGCAAGGTGCTATGATGACATACTTCTTTACCTCCTTCAGCCAGGATTGAGTAATTCCTGGGGTAAGTAGTTTTTCATATGGTGTTATACAAATAAAAGAAGATTTGTTTTTGGTTTGGTGGCTCTCTGTCTTGATCCATTCTGACCAAGAAACAGATTTAAGAGTTAATTATATGGAAAATGTTTCAATTATTAAGAATAAAAATATTTAAAACTCCTGTATGTCATACTCAAATGGATCCACAACCAGAGAAATTTAGTGAAATTTATTTAAAAATTAACAGAAATGTCTGGAAATGTCTGGACATTAACAGAAATGTCTTTTTCTTTGATTCAAATTGGAGTATCACATGCCCTTTCTGGCACCATGGCCATGCTCTTGCAAGGGTAGTAGGTAGAAAGAAAAATCTGTCTCACTCCATGAAATTTCCCATGGATTTAACCACATCAGAATTTCTTTGGGATTCTGATACAAAGTAATTTAGTTAAATAGAAGTTATAAATCTGTAACTGACTTGAAAATAAATCTTGCAATATTTCTTCTTTGACCATAAACTTCATCTCAATAACAACATTACACTGCCACATGTAGATTTCAATTAGATCCCAATTTTGACTAAGTATGGCTTTCTATGTATTTAGTTTTAAAAAAATTCCTTTTTTTTTTTTTTTGTGAGTTACAGTCCTTACTGCATCCCAGCAGGTCTGACATTGTTTTGGTCTTTTTCTTTCAGTTGCAACTGTAATTCATATTCTTAAGGTTAGGAACACAAAGCCTGCAACCAGCTCATTAGTGGATTTGGTCATTATGCTCAAATTATACATTAATTTTACCTGAATTACTTGGAGCCAAGTAACAACAACAACAAAAAGCCTGCCTCAATATCTGCTTCCTTAAAGGTTATTGAATTCAACCATATTGAGATAATACCTTTAAATTAACATTTATATTGAACTTTGCAGATATGCAGTTCTTAAATTTTTGAACTTGGTTACTCAAATCATAGAAATTGCATCCCAACTAGATCTTCTGGCCTCCAACCTTTCTCTTATCTCACTCATTCATTATCTTGTCACCAAAGTTGTTTCTCTAAGTCACAGATAGGGTTATGTGTCGTCCTGCTAGGAAACTGGCTATGACTCCTCCCAACCTATGGAATTAAGTTCAAATCCCATTGTGTAGTGTTCAAGACTATTTATAATCTCATCTCAGTCTGCCTTTCTAACCTCATCTCCTGCATACACACAACTACTGCCACACATACCTTTCATACACTGAATTTAACAGATGAGCCATAATTTTCTAGTCATGCATACATTTTCATGTCTCTATACTTTCGCTTATGCTTTTTGCTCTGTCTGAAATGAACTTTCTCCCCTTTTCAATTTGGTTAAGTCCAACTCAACCAATATGTCACCTCCTCTGCAGTCTACTCTGACCCTCCACCTCTTCCCTTACCTCAGAAAGAAGTTATCACCATTCCCTCCAGTATTCAGCATGAATGAACAGAAGGCTGTTACTAAAAAGTAAAAATAAATTACCATATATTACCAGTTAAGTCATTGGATGTATATTTTATGGTATTTTATTCATTTTAAACTGAAAAGCTTCATAAAATTACTTGTAAAATCTGTTCTCTGTGATCTGTATTCATAGAACACATAAAAAAACAGCATTGCTACTGTTGGCTGGGCCATTAGTCCTGTGAATCGACTAGTCTTACACAAATATCAAATGTCCACCAGTTCAAAAAGAGGCCATTTACACAGAATACTTTGGGGCCCATTTCTGGATTGGATCTGTTTGCCCTGAGTTCCTTGGAAAAGGACCCTAGCTTCAGCCCTCATCTCACAGACCCATTCGCATCAGCTGATCAGCCAGTGTAGAGGAAACTAAAACGGTATGACACGTGCTCGACAGAAGAAGCAACAAGATATAGTGGGATGGTTTTAGAGGCTTGAGGAAAGCTTCCAGAAGGAAGGATCGCTAACTTGAGAATTGGCATGGGAGTGGGTATTAGGAATTAGACTAATGCTCAAATTATACATTAATTTTACGTGAATTACTTGGAGCCAAGTAACAACAACATTAGAAGAATTCTAATGTTGAAGCAAAAGAAATTCATTAAGGATGGAGCATGCTGGAGTTGGTGTGTGCATATGAGTAGATGTGTGTATAGGTGTAGTGGAGGCTTCCCATAGGGGGAGAAGATGAGAAAAGCAGAGACCAGATATTCAAAAGTCAAATATATTTTTTAATCAAAGTATCTTCTAAACATTAATGCTTTCTTTATCTGGTTACTTTTAGAGTTCTATCTATTAACATTTAATTAATGAGTGCCAACTATGTGCAAGGCACCCTGTTAAGTCCTTGGGAAACAAAAAAATAATTTACTATCTTAATATAGAAGAGAGAAAACCTGCATACAAATAACCATAATACAAGGTAGAAAGTGATACATGCTACAAGAGAGACAAAAAAAAAAAAAAAACAAAAAAAACAAAAAAACAATGCTACGGAAGTTTAGAGGAGGGAGAATTCACACATTTATATGTGGCTAACCTATTTTTACTAACACTATGATAATCTTAGCTATGTGGCTTATCTCAATCATGGTGATGCTAATTTTGCAACTACTTTGACTTTCTGTAGTGTACAGTCCTTAGACAAAAACACCCTATTTATGAGACAAACTTGATGTAATTACTGAGTGTTTGCAGGCTGATTACTAGAATGAAATTAAAACCTGAGTTTCAGTGGGTTTAAGCTGTAAATGAATGGAAGTAATAAAAATTGAAGCTCACTATTTCTCAAACTTGGGGACCATGCCAGTTAAGTGTGGGTCAGTGTAGAGTTTTAATTACTGGGAATGGGTGAAAAGAAAAATTCAGAAAAATTAAGTTGAAAGTATTATTAATGTTCAAACAGTAGGCTTTTAATCTGGGTAAATGCTCTTCCTGTGAAGGAAAAAGTTTAATTTGTGAAGAGACACCCTTGTTTTCACTGTAAGACACCTATGCTCCCTATCTGAGTGGACACCACCAAACTAGAGGGAGTCTATCCCATTAATAGACTCATGTATGTAGTTGGTGATGACGAGCCTCTATTTTCCCAAGCACCTGCAGGCTCATCTCCACTAGTTGGTGAGCCCAAAATCACCAGGCCTAGTAATAGGATATCCCAATGCATCAGATGAAGAGATTAGAATTAGTTCTGTTCTAAGTCCAGCCTTGTGTTCATTGAGCTGTGATCATTTTTTTGTAAACGCTGCTGAGCTTGCCTGTCAGGCTTCTAAGACTGGTGCTCATATCCTTCTGTCTTTAAGCAGATGGTGCTATCCTGTCAGCAGAAATAATTGTTACTTTCCATCCCCTTGAAATAACAGTGGTCAGAGCTAACGTCTTGTACTTAATTTGATCCCTCAAGCAAACATTTTTAAAAGGCAAATGTAGCAAATGCAACCTAGTGGAAAAGCTCAAGACTCAGAGTTGGATTTTGGATTCATTTGCTTAGTAATTATGTCACTGGGATAGATTGGTATATGTCTTTGAGTTTTCATTTAGTCATTTGCAAAATGGATTGCTATGGGATTAAATGTGAAATATAAACATAAGGCTTTAAATGCTATATAGGATAAGGTATTATTTATTGAAGATCAAAAGCTCTTTGATAATTAGAAGTGTTTTTCTATTTTCCCAAATCTTACACATAGGGACATTTATTATAGCCATTCAATCTAGAGATCAAAGTGAAGGTGCCATTCTTCCAAATGTGTAGTTGAAGACACTTCCAGAGAGTAAAGATGAGTGTGATTTTATTTACCTTTCAAGGGTGTGTATAGACACACAAGCTAATTAAAAGATATGGTCACATTGGTAAATTCAGTAAGCTAAAAATGTACCTTATATTTCTTTTGTAAATGGTATATTATTCCATCAACTCCATTTTCATACATTCACATAGAACAGGAGTATTTAAGTGAAAGAATATTTCAGAAAAAAGGAGGACAGGATAGTAATTACAACCCAACTTGTCTTGTGCTGACAGCAGCCAACTCATTTATTAAGTCAATGTAGTCAAGTAACACGGCAACATCACATTTGATTGAAATCTTGGCCAAGTCTGACAGATGTTCTCTACTCATTGTCAATCTCAAGTATGTTTTAATGAGTTTCAAGTGGCTGGAGCTCCCCTCTGCAGGTGCCACTGTTGCAGAGATTGTGAACAGATTCTTCAGGGCAATGGGTTTTGTATTTAATAAGCAGTGCATGGTAGGTAACTGGTAGAAATCATTGCTGAAAATGCAATCGCATCTCTGGAAACAGACACTCCCAGTCTATAGCTGATGAGCCTCTTTCAAATCAGTTAAATTCATAATAGTGTCCCAAAGCTGGTCTGTGTGTATAACATCTCCAATCTTAAAAGTTGATAAAAGTATTTCAAAACCTCAATCTTTTTGGAGATTTTAGAAGATTCCTGCTTTAGAAGACTCACTGGAAACATTTTAAAAATTGCTTTTTTTGTTGTTGTTGTTCTTCAGTGAAATTGCAATGTCTGAGGACAAAGGGGGTGGCGAGAGTAGCTTACAAAGTAATTCCCATTTTTTTGTATGTATTACAAATAGGTTTTAGATTTTTTTAAAGTAGTTTTCAGGAAGATAGTTTGATATTTCTACTGGCTTATAGACCTGCTTTTTCACTTTAAAAATTATTACTTGTGTAGAGAAAAACCATGAGGATAATATTTCCTTTGGTCAATCTCTATCTCAAACAAAATGGTTTATATATTTTGTATACTATGCCATAAAAATGAATATTGCTTAGCTGCTGTGGTGTATTAGTTTTTTCCACACTAGAATAAATCTACTTCTTATTACTAGCCTATCTCTTCAGTATAAGTTTAATAGTTCATTTCTGTTTTCTTTCTTCATATGTCATATATAAACCTTTTAATGATCTAAAATGTCTTTTCATAATGGTCTGAATTGAACAACAATTTCTAAGAAACTTCTTTCATCTTATGACGTAGAAATTGTTTAAGAGCAGAGAAATTTCTGAGACAGGAAATAAAAGTCAGTATAAATCACAGGAGATGTGTTGAAGTCCTGATTTCATTTATCCAACATTTTGTCTAAGTAAATGAAACTTACAAATATTAAAAGAGTGCTTTGTCAGATTTCTGATATTTACAACTTTTCATGCTTCATGCTTGATTTAAAACCCAAAGCCTGTCAGAAAGCCAGATGGCAAGTAAGGACATCTCTGATGCATTAATACTTAGCTCCTAAGAGGTGGAAAAGGATTTATTTGCTTCTGAGAAGACGTGGGATAGGGTAGACCACCACTGCCCCTAATGCGTAGTAGGGGAGTGATGATGGTTTCTGTGTTAAGAGGACTTCTTTAAAAATTATTTATTTATTATCTGTTAGGTTTCCATAGCTCCATGCCCTTTGAGTCTTCAGAGCCTGGCTGCTGCATGCAGCAATTAGTTTGTGCCAGAGAGAAAATGAGTGGTGAGAGAAATATCTGGGCTGAAATGCAGTGTGTGACAAACACAGTGGAATCTGAAAGAGTTGCTTGTTAGTTAGAAATTAGTCATGGGCTAGCCCAAGGGTGGGTGCATAGTAATTTTAGATTATTCATTCTTGTCTTTTTTGGGTAGCCCTGCCCTTCTCTCAGACATGTTATATTCTCTGGGGAGTTGATAATGGCACTGCCAAAAGTATACAACATTGAAATGAAACACCAACTGAGAAAAAAATTTGCAGCTTGGAAAGGCAATAAATAAGGTGGATACTGAGAACGGGAGGCGATTTTTCTTCTCTCCCAAAGAGAAGGGCAGTAAGCGGTGAGGTTGCTCACTGTAGGCTGATTACAGAGTGCAAAGATGGTGGGTTGATTGAAGGTGTGTAAATAGACCACAGAATCTGTTAATCCAGGAGAGCATATTTGTATGTGTTCATTCGAATGTAAAGCTGAAAGGTGGTTTAGATCAACTGCAATATTTAAAGTTATTGTTTACCAAAGCAACATTCCAGTGTCCTTGGCATTCTTGTAAATTGTGGGCAGAGCACATGGGCTAAAATATTCAACCTCTGAAAAAGTGCAGCTTTGAAGCCGTAAAAAGCCACTAACTGCCTTAGTTGATTATATAGCAGGCTCTTTCGACTGCCAGTTTCTCGGCAGGCATCCCTGCCTCACATTTTCCTATTTATTTTTGCTGAAACTCTACCATGGATTTTAACCTGAAAGAAAAAATAAACATGTAGGCATTTGTTTAAGAAGAATCGGGAACCTCTCTGATATGCTATGTGAGCTGAGAAACACCGGCGTGGTGGGTTATTGTATGCCACCAGCTGTAGCCACTTTAGCTGGAGAGCACTTTGTATTCTTCTTTAAGGCAGTAATTGGTAAGTATATTTCTGCCTGTAATCAATAGCTTTTACATTCAACGTAATATTTCTAAACAAAAAGAAATATTACATTCAATGTAAAAGCTATTGATTGCAGAGAGCAAATGTCTTTTCCACATGCCACTCCACATGGCTGAATAATCCTGAAATTCTATAGAGCTACCAATGTGACAGACGCCTCTGTCATTAACTGGTTCTTCAGTCTTTGAGACCCAAGAAAGAAAATTTCTTTAACCAAATCTCCAGTGAAACCATGTCTTGCATATAAAAAGAATGCCATGTGATATGAATCAGAAAATATTATTTGACCCTTTTTTCTAGTAGTGAGTCTTTAGACTGTGTATACATTGAAATATATATGTATATATGTATCAGTATGGATATATATGTATATATATCTATCAGTATAGATATACATATGTGTATATATATCAGTATCTACATATATGTATATATTGACTCACATTCTCTTATATGTATATGGATATATAATACATATATCAGTGTATATATCAGATATATATAAGTATATATACATGTATATATGTGTATATATACATATACATCATATGTATATCTATACATACATATGACGTTATATCATATATGTCAGTATATATGTACACATATGCATATATACATATTAGTATATACATATATTTATGTACATATAAATATACTGATATATATCAGTATATATGCATATATACACCTATATGTATACCAGTATAAATCTGTATGTATGCACACATATACATATAAGAGAATGTGGATCAGTATATACATGTGGATCAGTATATATAGTATATATACATATATAGGTATATCAGTATATATCAGTATATATGTATACACATATATACATACAAGACAATTGTATCAGTACATAAGTGTGGATCAGTATATATATATATATATATATATATATATACAGTGTATATACAGTATATGTATATACACACTGTATATATACTGATCCACATTTTTTTCCTTGATCCTTCCCATGACTGGTGTGTATACACACACACAATCTACATGTAGTTGACTTTTGAACAGCATGAGAGTGAACTGAATGGGTTCACTTACATACATGGATCTTCTTCCACTTCTGCTACTACTGACACAGCAAGACCAAACCCTCCTCTTCCTCCTCCTCCTCCTCCTCATCTTACTCATTGTACAGATGATGAAGATGAAGACTTTTCTAATGGTCCACTTTCACTTAAAGTATAATAAATATATTTTCTCATTTTTATGATTTTCTTAATTACATGTTTTTCCCTCTGGCTTACTTTATTATAAGAAGGCAGTAATAGAATACATACAACATACAACATTTATTTAATGAACAGTTTATGTTACCAGTAAGGCTTTTGGTCAACAGAAGACTATTAGTAAGTAGTTAAATTTTGAGGGAGTGAAAAGTTATCTATGGATTTTTGACTGTGCAGGGGATTGGCACCCCTAACCTGTCATGTTGTTCAAGGGTCAACTGTGTGTGTGGGTGTATAATATATAATATATAATATATACATATATATACACCCCCCCCACACACATATATACACATGCACTATATATATATATATATTAGTCATAGGGAAAATCATATATATGACATAAAGATATATATAATATACCCACATATACACATACATATTGATCCTCACTGAACCAATCTCTTCCCTGATCTTCCATGACTGATATATGTTGAACTTCCCCATTATATCTATATCTCTGCATACCATCTAACTTTGTTATATATATGTATATATGCACACATGCATACATACATTATATATGTATGCATGTGTAATCCTGCATCACCTGGTCTTTTACATAACTAATTGTAAACCCTTCCAAAGTAGCTGATTCTGGTCAGCAAAGCGGCCTCTGACTGAGTTCGTTTTTCTTTGTGAAAGCAAACCTGCTTTTGTTGTAGCATTTATTTTTTAGTTTAGGATCACTGGCCAAAGCATACAGTTGTACAGGTTGCGTCCTGCACATGGGCATCTCCCTGAGTTGATAGGCAATATGCAGTTCACTCTCAGTTTTCTGAGCTCAGGGCTGCCTCCACCTTGATAAAAGAACACTCCCTTTAACCTATGTGAAAATGCTATCTACTATCGAAGTCATGGTGAATGTATGTTTTCATAACAGTGGTAGCCTTTTTTTTTTGTACAACATTGTTTTATGAACTAGCAGTAACTTTGCTGGCACCATGACCTATGAATTTAGCTAATGAATTAGGTACTAACATTGTTATAATTAATAAAAAATGTGATCTCTGCATAATCAACAACAAAACATTATTTTCAAGCCAAGAAAAATACTGCAAAGAGATGAAACTTTGTAAAATGTAGCTAAGCCAGTAAGAGGTGGAATTCAGACATCACCAAGAGAAATTTGAGTAATCAAGATTCTTTGAATTTGAAATGTATGATGTAATGTAGCCACTCCTACATCATAGACTCTATCATGCATAAATAACAAAAGAAATCATTATAGAAATTTTCCTCAGGTTTGCTACTTTGGAAGGACATTCTGAAACTCAAATATATGGGTGGGAGTCTGGGTAGATTAGAATGGAGATTTTATCCCCTAAAAATAAACAGTTCAAAGCTAGGTTAACAGTGCATTCTTACTTTTTATTATTATTTTTTTTTATTATTATACTTTAAGTTCTAGGGTACATGTGCACAACATGCAGGTTTGTTGCAAATGTATACATGTGCCATGTTGGTGTGCTGCACCCATTAACTCGTCATTTACATTAGGTATATCTCCTAATGCTATCTCTCCCCCCTCCCCCCACCCCACAACAGGCTCGGTGTATGATGTCCCCCTTCCTGTGTCCAAGTGTTCTCATTGTTCAATTCCCACCTATGAGTGAGAACATGCAGTGTTTGGTTTTTTGTCCTTGCGATAGTTTGCTGAGAATGATGGTTTCCAGCTTCATCCATGTCCCTAAAAAGGACATGAATTCATCATTTTTTATGGCTGCAGAGTATTCCATAATGTATATGTGCCACATTTTCTTAATCCAGTCTATCATTATTGGACATTTGGGTTGGTTCCAGGTCTTTGCTATTATGAATAGTGCCTCAATAAACAAACATGTGCATGTGTCTTTATAGCAGCATGATTTATAATCCTTTGGGTATATACCCAGTAATGGGATGGCTGGGTCAAATGGTATTTCTAGTTCTAGATCCCTGAGGAACTGCCGCACTGTGTTCCACAATGGTTGAACCAGTTTACAGTCCCACCAACAATGTAAAAGTGTTCCTATTTCTCCACATCCTCTCCAGCACCTGTTGTTTCCTGACTTTTTAATGATTGCCATTCTAACTGGTGTGAGACGGTATCTCATTGTGGTTTTGATTTGCATTTCTCTGATGGCCAGCAGCCAACGGACCCATTCTTTTTTTTTATACTTTAAGTTCTGGGGTACATGTGCAGAACATGTGGTTTTGTTACATAGGTATACATGTGCCATGGTGGTTTGCTGCACCCATTGACCTGTCACCTACATTAGGTATTTCTCCTAATGCTATCCCTCCCCTAGCCTCCCCATCCCCCAACGGGCCCTGGTGTGTGATATGCCCTTCCCTGTGTCCATGTGTTCTCATTTTCAACTCCCACTTATGAGTGAGAGCACGCAGCGTTTGGTTTTCTGTTCTTGTGTTAGTTTGCTGAGAATGATGGTTTCCAGCTTCATCCATGTCCCTGCAAAGGACATGAACTCATCCTTTTTATGGCTGCGTAGTATTCCATGGTGTATGTGTGCCACATTTTCTTTATTCAGTCTATCATTGATGGCCATTTGGGTTGGTTCTAAGTCTATACTATTGTGAATAGTGCCACAAATAAACATACCTATGCATGTGTCTTTATAGTAGAATGATTTATAATCCTTTGGGTATATACCCAGTAATGGGATTGCTGGATCAAATGGTATTTCTAGTTCTAGATCCTTGAGGAATCACCACACTGTCTTCCACAATGGTTGAACTAATTTACACTCCCACCAACAGTGTAAAAGCATTCCTATTTCTCCACATCCTCTCCAGCATCTGTTGTTCCCTGACTTTTTAATGATCACCATTCTAACTGGCGTGAGATGGTATCTCATTGTGGTTTTGATTTGCATTTCTCTAATGACCAGTGATGAGGAGCATTTTTTAATATGTTTGTTGGTTGCATAATTGTCTTCTTTTGAGAAGTGTCGGTTCATATTCTTTGCCTACTTTTTGATGGGTTGTTTTTTTCTTGTAAATTTGTTTAAGACTTAAACATAAGACCTAAAACCATAAAAATCCTAGAAGAAAACCTAGGCAATACCATTCAGGACATAAGCATGGGCAAAGTCTTCATGTCCAAAACACCAAAAGCTATGGCAACAAAAGCCAAAATTGACAAATGGGATATAATTAAACTAAAGAGTCTCTGTACAGCAAAAGAAACTACCATCAGATTGAACAGGCAACCTACAGAATGGGAGAAAACTTCTGCAATCTATCCATCCGACAAAGGGCTAATATCCAGAATCTGCAGTGTATTCTTTTAAATGTTTTTTTTTTTTTTTGACACAGAGTCTGGCTCTGTCACCCAGGCTGGAGTGCAGTGATCTTGGCTCACTGCAACGTCCGCCTCTCAGGTTCAACCGATTCTTCTGCCTCAGCCTCCCAAGTAGCTGGGATTACAGGCACCTGCCACTACGCCTGGCTAATTTTTGTATTTTTAGTAGAGATGGGGGTTTTGCCATGTCGGCCAGGCTGATCACCAACTCCTGACATCAGGTGATCCGCCTGCCTCAGCCTCCCAAAGTGCTGGGATTACAGGCATGGACCACCACGCCTGGCTTCTTTTAAATGGTTCTATATTAGTGATATTGGCATAGTCTGGTTCTATTCTAACAATGTTTAGACCAATGATATTTTGGTTTTGAATCTTAATATACAAAATAACGTGAGAAACTTAAAGAGATAACTTCAGTTTTAGGTTGTGCTAAATGTAGGTTCTCATAAACCCCTAATAGTTTATAGGTGATGAAATAACCATCTTGAACATTTCTCCATAAACAGGATTTTTATTTCAAGACCCACAGTCTCAGATGCAGGTTCAATGGAATCACTAGAGACCAAACAAGAAGAGACATCAAATAATCTCCCACCACTGAAATCAGCTCCCTCTAGAAAGGGGCTACAGAAGAGACAAGATAGCTCTCTGAATTTACTTGCACATGAATAGAATTCAGGCTCCAAAAGAGGCCACCTGCTACCCTTTATAGGTGCTAAGAAATACCAAAATTAAAAGTACAGGAAATACGATACTCTAAACAGGGAAGGTAAAAGAATGGTAATGAACTTTCAGAATAGACAAGTAGACTGCACTGGTTGCTATTAAAAATACACATCCACAGGCAGAGAAACACTTGCCCAAATTGTACAGGGATGCTACAGCACTCTTTTAACTTATAATGAGGCATTGTAAAAAATATTTTCTTATTGTGCATGTATCTATGGATTTGTGAGTTCACTCATTAGAGCAGGCACTACTTTTAGGGTGTGTGCATGTGTGTGTGTGTGTGTGTGTGTGCATGCACATGCCTGCGTATTGGGGGAAATTAATTTCTTTCAGAGTGTTTCAGTCCCTAGGGGAAGCCACATAAAGAAAGTTGTTTGATGTATGAAAGAGTGTTTTATACAGTATTAAATCCAGGAGTTTACTATTTGGGGGACAGACTCACATTTTATGGCAAGACCACTATTCACTTTACTGTATTCTGTCCTTTTTCTGGCAGAAACATCCTGTAGAAAATTCCAAATAGTTATACCCTCAAGTCATAGTACCAGTAAATATCTTTTTTAAAAAAATTTTTTATTTTTATTTTTTGTTATACTTTAAGTTTTAGGGTACATGTGCACAACGTGCAGGTTTGTTACATATGTATACATGTGCCACAGCAGAGAGGCATATTTCCCAAAACATGCTCTGGGCTATAAGATTCTACTGTAAATCTTAACTTTTCTAGTGCTCAGGGATGGTACAGAGGGAGTTTGTTGATGTTGAATGGGAGCACTAAGTGGAATACTTCTGTTAAACTTATTTTTTTTCAAATGTGACACTTTAAAAAGCCTTGGTTTGTATAGGATAAGACAGAGATATTCATGGATCCGAGTACCAATACACACACACACACACACACACACACACACACAATAAATTATAAATTACTTTATCCCAAAGTAATAATTCTAAAAATATTTGCACCAGCAGAATAGAAGGAAAATCAATAAGCAAATTAATTAATGAATTAGTTGAATTTATGACAATTTAGAATTCATTTTGCAGACATAAGCTGGCATAAATACATCAGTTACAGAAAAATTTATAACTACCAACCTCATCGCAAATAATACCACACATACAAATACATGTACACATATATATGGTGCTTTTTACATTTCTGGAATTATCAGTTTTTTAACATAGTTGGATTCAAAATGTATTGTTATGGTTCGAATACGCAAAAAGCAAAACTTTTGCAAACCCTTTAGGAACTTAATTTAAATCACGTGACCAGTATTAGGTAAAAGTAAATAGCATGCTTCAAAACAAATGGCACTTTTGATTTGGCTAAATATATTTCTTCTAATATTTAAACCTGAAAGCTTTCTTAGTTGCAATATACTATTTATGGTAATCTGAGGTGTTGTTACTGAAGATGAAAAATACTTAACCCATTAAGTATGCCTCAAATGAAAACTCCACTCTTTCTTTTCTGCTCTGTATAAAATCAGAGTTCTATATAACCAGGCTAAATAAGTTCACATGCTATGGACCGATGCATGGTGTTTCTTATACAATGACCCTCGTCTAAAGAGAGGGATCTGCTTTGCAACTGAATATATGTAGTCAACTTAAATATGCTGATGTTAGAAATGAGAATTAGTGGTTTTTACAACTACAGTTGAGAGAACATTTCGTCTAAAATGCTGAAAACTCTGGTTTAATATATGAAAATAAAGCAGCCAAGACATTTTTCATATGTTCTAGATTTCATCCTGCAGCCTTTCATAGAAAGGTGAGATGACAGATAGCAGATGGATTTACCTTTTTAGTTAGCTGCAAAACTACAAATCAATTTCATATAAACAGATCTCTCAGCCAAATATAGCTTGACAGTAATTCTATAAGATTCATCAAGTCAAGGAAAGAGATTATGTCTGATGACATGAACTAATGTAAAAGTAAGATATATCACGATTTCAATATACTAGGTGAGAGAATCCATTCAATATCACTTTTTAAATGAAAATGCTTTCCTCTGTACTGATGATTTCAGTATTCATTTACTTTTTAGAATGATAAGTAATTATTATACCTTTCACATTGTTACCCAGAATAATGTGAAAAAAATTACTAAAACAGTTTTCAGGTTGCAAGTGATATAGAGTATGTAAAATTATTTAGAAACATCCAGGTCAGTGTAAGGCTTTAAAAATATTGTTATTTCACTTATTAGACTAAGTGTATATTGGAACTGCAGTTAAGTAATTACATTTAAGTAATTACTTTACTCATAAGAGAAGAAACAAGATGTGATGTGCATAAAGCACTTAATCACTTGTAGTTTAAAGCCTATTTTATTTCTCTGTAATATTTGGAGGCAGACCTAAACCAACTCCAGAACAGTGATGGAAGAGATTCTGTACATTAACGAAAGGCTCTCAGTCTGCACTTAATTCTGATATAATGACATCTGGCCAACATCCTAAGATGAAATTTTCAATAAATGCTGGCAACTTAACACAATTCATTATGGTTTCTCCTGGTAAAGGATGTGGATAAAAATTGCTTTGGCTCTAAAAAAGCTTTCACTTCATTATGAGACCGGATCAATCACCATCAGCAGAAGATACTCATTGGGCTACTTATTTTGCAGCTGTGATGCATTTCGTTATCAGGGCCCGTTGAAGACACTAAGAAATTGTTTTTATTAGGCAACCATTATTGCTAAACTTCTCTAAGCTAAATGCATCTTTAAGTGTATTTCCTTTTTAAAGAGATGGAACAATCAGTCTGAACTGAAACTGGCATGAGATTACCTGTTCATCCTTATAAAAGCAATGCCATTTAGATGGCATTTTATTTGTACTTTTGCACAAAAAGAAATGATAATATATATTTCTCCATTAAACTAAGAAAGAGATCAAGTTACTCAATAATCACTATGTATTTGAGACAACTGGAGAAGTTAAATTCACATCCAGTGCCTCCCTTCTTCTCTCCTTAACCTCCCTCCTTGTAAGGAAAATTTAAATGATGCTCTAGGTTGAGTAGTGGTATAGAACCAAAGCTCACAACCATATCTACCGGCACCATCATTTCACGTCTCCATTGATTTTTGTTTGCATTTTTGAGGCCTGAAAAGAAATAAAACTTTTCTGACATTAAAATGAGTTTTAATAACTATCTCACTAAAAATCTGATGTATAAGCATTATTTTGCATTTTACACTTGTGGTTTCTAAATATTCTACAATATATTGCAGCAGATTCCTCTGGACAAGCTGTATTTAAATTTTTACTACATTCCTCTCTCATGGGTCCTCTAGAAAAAAAAATTGCAGCATCTTATGTTACCCACAGTGTCAATTAATCCCTTCAGTCAAATTCCCTTTATTATCAAAGAAAAATTCAGAAGGTTGCCTACCATTTCATAGGTAGTTTATTCTGAATATGCCTAAAGAAAAACACATAAATTGGAATATACGAGTATGTACAATGGTTCTCACATGTTAAAGAAGTGTGAATTATTGCAGATGAAGGAGATATTTAAGAACAAATAAGCATGCTTTAGTGATTTGGAACGACAACTGAAAAATTCCAAAATAGAACTTGTGAACCACCTCAAATATCCAAGGTGGGATTTTGTTCTGGCGTGTCTCCACCAGCAAAACAAGGGAAGTGATTTACCATCAGTTGTCAAGTTGCTTAGTCTTTCACAACTGCTAAAGTGCCAAAGCCTTTTTGGATGGTCTTATCATACTTCTACCTTCTTAAAACTGCTTGGGTAGAGCAGTAAATAACTGGCTAGAAAATATAGCTGAGAAACTTTTGGGAAGTGGATAATTCTCAACTCTCCCACACTACCCTATTAGTGCTATATAGGAGTCTTATCAGAAAATGTGTTTTGATGAATGTATAGGCTTCTCCATGGACCCTAAATGGAATAAGGTTTTGTTTCCATGTTTGGCATAGATAAATACCAATTTCATTGTCATCTCTATTAGTTCATATAGAAAATTAAATTACGTAGTGAATAGAACACTTCTGAAGTTTTGCTAAATGGCTAAAGAGGAGAAAAAAGTAGATAAGGAAGGTTATATATATTTACTAGTTTAGGTAACATCAGTTTTTATAACAAGTCAACATTAGAATACAATAGTATTCACAGATCCAGGCCAATAGATCTACTATCTTCAGCTTAAAGATTCTAAGGTTGTCCTGGGGATTAACACCCAGGTAGAGGTAGAAGAATATGGATGGTTTTAAAGGTCCAGTCCTGGGATTAGTGAACTTTACATTCACTCATATTTTGTTGATTAGGATTCAGCAACATGACCACAGCTATTTACAAGTAAGGCTCGAAGCTGTAGTGTAGATGTGTGTTCAGAAAGAAGAGGTGAACAGCCATCTAGTCTCAGCAACAAAATTGTACTGTATTCATTCTTATGGAAACGAATGGGAAAACAAAATAGAACTTTTTTCATTTGGATGCTACAGAAATTGTCATGAAACTAGGTCATGAGATGGAATTTCTAAAGATAAAACTTCTGGGATTGGGACAAGAAGGTGGGATTTGGTTTGAATTAAAAACTGATTAAATAAAACCTGAATTTAGTGATTGACCACCAGGTCTCTCCTCTTCTCCTCATTCCCCTTTTACCCTCCATTCTGCTTCCCTTTGGAAAATTGTAAATCATATCACAAGCTGTAAATACTTGCTAGTCTGATTCAGTCAATGCTTGGGTATTTTCAGCAATAGTATTACAACATTTAAAACATTTTAATTTATACTTACATATTAATATAAGGGTCCCTACTTAAATTCAAATATTATACATAATCTCAGTGCAAACCACATAATCAGTGCATAATCTTGTGCAAACCACACAAAATTGGACCTGCTTTGGTTGAAATAGCCATAGGGACCCAGAGTTTCTCCCATTCTGCCTGCCCTAATCCCAGCTTTGACCCCATGTCAGACCTTAAAGAGACAGAGTGAGAACAACTGTTCTACTCTAATACCACCAAGAGTCATGTTAATAGCGAATTTTTAGGTGCTTACTCCAGATTTCAGCTGTACCTATGTCTCCTAGTTCTCTAGTGTGTTTGGGTCATTCTGTTGAATGGTGTTTAAATAAAAATGATTCAATTCCTTATTCACCTCAACATCATCTATGGTTTCCTAATCAATATTTCTAAATACTCTCAGACAGAATCTATTTCTTCTGAATTGCTTGTTATTCCCATTTGTTGAAGCTGACAAATTCTCCATTGGTCTTTTTCATTTATGCTCTTTTCCATTTATCTATTCTCAGTTGATCCAAATGGGCAATCGGGCTCCTATGCCCTAATTTTCATTTTGAAATTCACAGAAGACAATTGTGTGACTAGACTGTTACTGAAGGTGAGGGGTCACTCTGGAAGGAGATTGCATATTTCATCAGAGCACGATAGACAGACAATTTATTCTGATAGCTATCCCCATCCTTAAATGTGGCCAAACCACCTGCACGTTTCTCACTGGCTGATTTTTGTTCACACGTCAGAGCCTCCTGCCATTTCGCTGGCCTTCTCCTCTATGGCTCCTAGCCCCTCTGCTTTTCCAGATTCCCAGGACTATTCTTACTCTCTGTTTATAGGGCAGCTAGTGGAAACTCAAAAAACTTTTTTCTTTTTACAGAGTTTTATTTTGTCTCATTCACTGTCTGATCTGGTCATGGCAAAGAAACTGTTCATATATATATACATATATATATAAAATAGCCTTTCAAGGCTATTATTTGTGAAACAACAAATTTTCTTACCTAAAAAAAATTTGCCACCACTTTTAAAGTAACACTGTTAAGATTAAAGAAAGATACCCTGAAATGAACGCACAGTGGGACCTGTATGCTGAGACAGAGAAATTATGTGGAGAAATCAAGACAATAATGTCCACATCTGTATCTCAATAGAGACAATAATTATATGTGGGTTTTATCCTCCAGACCTTAATACTTCCTTCCTTTACTTTCCATTGTGTATACTGTCTCTTAGATTTCTAACTTTCTTTGCATTACTGTGCCCTTTGACTCCATAGTGCATTGTGGTGATAGAGGGTTGTATGGCATATCAAATAAGCTAAGCAAAAAACTTGACCAGTCTGTTTAAAAAGAAAACCACTTTCTGATATCCAACACTTATGATTTTTATGATCTCACCACATTCACATTTCTTATCTGTTATCACTCTCTGGGCTTTCCATCTAATTTCCATAATGCATGTTCATAGTTCATGTTTATTACAACAGAGAGCTAAGTTAACTTATAGCTTTTCTGCATTTATATTTTTCTCCCATTTTTAAATTTTAAGAGACACCAAGGCAAATATGACAGTTACCTAATAAAGCTGAAATTCTGTCTACAATTAGAGTACCCTGGGACGTTGATTGCCTTTGGCTCTATGAACGCACACTGTATGCTTGTGTTGCATTGATCAGAATGAGTCTGCGGGAAGTGAGCCATGGGCATGCTCTGGGCCATGAAACTTAAGGGGAGTGAGGGATGGTGTAATCATTGTGAGAGCAGCTTAGATTCCATCGGTTGATGCTCATGACACCAACAATGAACTTCTCTCTAGAGGGGCGTATTGCAGTTGTGAAGTCAAGCAAGTATAAATATGATGGGGTGGAACCTCAATTTTTCTCCAAGTAAAGAAACTAGTCCAGAGGTCACAGCTGATGAATGATGAACTGCTCCCTTCTTTGGGGTGTCTGTAAAGGTGGACTGATATTCATAAAAATCTGCAGATAATCCCATAAAAGTTCTCCTTTAATTCTAAACATAGACCTTTGCTTTAGGCTACTAGCAAAAGGAAACTAACTTTAAAAATATGGCTTGATACAATATGAAACTGGGAACAATAGCACTAAAAAAATCCCTCTTGAAAGTGAAATGCTGATGGTCTGATGGATTTATGATTGAAGGAACCTGTAGAAATTGCCTGGTGCAGCCTCTCCCATAGTGCTCAAATGAGTGCTAGTGGTCATTTCAATCTATGCCTGGGACATCTGAGTTGGGAGAGCTTACCTTACCGTTACAATTTTATTTATTTGGAAATTGTGTTGAGCTGAAAGATGTCTTCCTGTTACCTATAGTTTTAATCTTACTTCTGACATTTGGAGCTATCCTGCAGTACATCCTAATCTTTCTTCTTAATTCTTTCAAATATTTGATAATAGCTCTTATGTTTCTACTATGCCTTCACTTTACCAGTCTTTGTTAATTCTAATATTCCTCAAATAATGTAATTTATAGACACTTAATTTTTTTTGTTGCTCTCCTATGGACAACTTTAGCATGTCTGTATCTTTTTAAAATGTAGAGTCCAGGACAAAATGCAGTGAACTTGTTTTGGAGGGAAAAATTCATAGTACAGTGTGAGTTTTACTTTTCTCTTTTTTTGGCATTGATATTTATTTACAACCTAGAGTAATATTAGCTATTTTTGCAGCTACATTTCATTATTATCTTATGATAGGCATTTTTTTAAAACAAGAACTGCTCTTACATTAGGTTTCTTTTACTGTGAAATTCTATAGTAGATTTTTGAACTATTATTTCTTTTTTATATTTATTCCTATTGAGTTATACCATGTTAGCTACAATCTACTCTTCCAATCCAATATGAGTTTTTAAAATTTGTCATCAATAAATGAATCTAAATTTTAAGTTAGTTACATATACATTTAATAAAAATGTCTTATCTATTTAATGAAAATGCTTTGTGTGACTTAATAGATCACTGATAAAAATGGGAAAAGGCAGGATTAAGTACATGCCTCAACTAGTACTCTATTTTGAGGCCTATATCAATATATTAATTTACAATTTGGCCATAGCTGAAACAGCTATGAATGCCCTGAATTCTACTATCATCTAGCCTCCAAATCTCTTAGGGAATCATGGGAAAATTGGTCATATTTCTTTCTGAAATCCATATTTATTCTATCTAGGTTATTCTTCTTTGCTAATATAGGGATTCTATTGCAAAGGAAATAAAATCGACATGATTTATTCTCAGTGGAGCCATTGTAGCTGCTAGTAATTACTGTTTTATGTGGAAAATACCCATAAAACATCCACCTAAACTTTTATTCTTGTGAAATGTGATATACAAAATGGCATCACTATGCAGCAGAGCTCAAAATGGAGTCAAGAAGCCATTCTCAGAAGGACTTTCTCCATGACCTTGCACAGAAAAACAAAAACAAAACCAAAAAACAGGAATTTGCCTTGAATCTTTTAACTGCCAAACTGCAATGATCACAACATCATGGAAAGCAGCTGAATTTCACCAGTGCTGCAATTTCTGGGACAGTGACAACCAATGAATTATGGCTGCCTCGACCAATGATAGCTCTTTCAAAACAATTTGTGTAATCACCCTCAGCATTAAAATAAAATATCTTAACTCTCCTCCCTCTCTTTGGAACACAATTTGACCCTTCAGCAAATCTTTGTCTCCTGAATTGCAATTTCTAAGACCCCCCAAAATGCCTTGTCGCACTGATTCATAGTCTGGTCTCTTACCTCTTCTTGGTTGGCATTCTCAAGTTTTGCCTGAGGTGGATATAAAGTTACCACATCATTTGGAGAAGGTACAAGGACACTTAGAAGAAAGCACTTGGGAGAAGTTGGATCTACATAAAGAACTGAATTCTAATTCTCACAGGTAGAAAATTTGTTTTGTCTCAATAAGATTGGGTCTGGAAGAAGGCCTGCCCACTATGGATTCATTGGTGGGCTCACCTATGGTGGATAGGAGTACTACAAAAAGGCAGAGCAAGAGTTGGAGGCAAAGGCCGATAGAGCATAGCATGCTGTAATTTCCAGAATCTGCTTCCACTCATGTTTGAAAATTGGAGAGTTTTTCAAAATTATTTTTAGTTTTTCTAAATCTTTGCATATTGTCTAGATATGTGCCAGTAGCCATTCCACAATTACATATGGATATTCTTTTACTATTTTTGTGTGCATTTAATCTGTATTTGGAGTCTTAAAGGTAATGTAAAGCAATTTAGTTTACTCTTATCATTTCCTTATCTAATTTATACTCTAGTCCCCTGGTAACCAAGTCTGTTCCATATTTTCCAATGGGAGGATCATTGTCTTTAGTAAAGAATGAAAGTGAAATGGAAATCGAGTAGCCTTGCTTTCTCGCTGTCTCTGGTTATCTTTGTACCACATATCTCAAATACTGAGCCTGTGCCTTCCTTTCCCTAAGCATCAAGTAAAACAAATGTTCATTGTGTGCTAACTCTGTGCTAGGTATGAAGCTAGGTGTTTTATTTACATTATTTTATTCAATTCTCAGAAACCCAATGGAGAAGTATTGTTATCCTCATTTTACAAATGCAGAAACTATAAATCAGAGAAATTAAGTATATTTTCCAGGGTCCACAGTTAAAAATGCAACAAAGCCAGCCTTAGAATCAAGTCTATTTTAAAATCTTATTTTCCTAAGCAATATATCCAGTGATGTCATTTTAGAATTTTTAGCATTTTACTTCAAAGCCTCAGTATGGGGCTTTTATCATCCTAATTACATTCTCTTCTTCCTCCTGGTTTATAATAATGTGTTTTGCTTGTGTTTGGTTATGAGGATTTCCTTGCATTTTTTTAGACATGCCTGTTAAAAATCCAAGTTCAGGTGGCTGGCGTGATCCACAGAGAAGAAGGAAGAGCAGTGTGGTATGGCAGCCCACCTGAGAGCCACACAGGGCAGGGACCCCCCATGCCCCCGGCCAAGGGAGGTGGTGAGTGAGTGTGCTACTCAGCCTTGGAAACCATGCTTTTTCCATAAAACTGTGTGACCCATGGGTTGGAAGATCCCACTTGTGAACCCATGTCACTGGAGCCTAGGGTCCCAATCAGGGAGCCAGTCAGATTTTCAATAGCCACTCAGCTAGAATCTGCTTAAGCCTGCCGAGTTCCTGGTGGGAGGGGTGGCATCACCACAGCTGCAGCTTCCTGCTATCTGAGTCATCTGAGCTCCTTGGGGAGGGGCAGCAGCCAACACTCAGACCTAAAGCTGCCTAACACACTAAGCTCCCAGGGTGGGGGAAGGGTGGCAGCCATCTTTATAGTTCCAGGCCACACTTTTCCCCTGCTGGAGCCAGGGAGGCTGGATGGCTTGGTTCAAGCCCAACACATCAGCTGTGGCAGACTGTGGCCAGAGTGCCTCTCCAGGCATGGCCCTGACCCATCCCTGCTCACTGGGTGAGGCCTCCCTGCAGGAACTCCAGCAACTCCAGCCAGGGGCTCAGGGACAAAACTTTGATCTCCCTGGCCCTGAGCCCCTAGTGAGAGGGGTGGCCAGTCTCCACTGACCAGAAGATATAGTCTTTCGTCCTGCTAGTTGTGAGGAATCCAGGTAGCCCAGATGAGTGGATTTCCCCCCGAGTAAAGCACAAACCCTCCACCAAGAGACAGTCAAAGTACTTCATTAAACTGGTCCAGTTCCCTGTGTTACCCAATTGAGTGAGACCCTTCAACAGGAGTTGTCAGACACCCTCTGCAGGAGTATGCCTATTGGTCAGTGCCCTTTGAGGTCAGAGATCCCAGAGGAAGGAGCAGGCACGCATCTTTGCTGTTCTCCAGGCTCATCTCCCAGGCGTGGGGGCAAACCATAAAAATAGAGCCCGAAGTGAGCCCCCAGCAAATCACAGCAGCCCTACAGAATAGGGACATGACTATTGAAAAAACAAACAAACAAATGAACAGCAACAACAACAGCATCAACAAAAAAAGTCCTCACAAAAACCCCATCCAAGGGTCAGCAGCCTCAAAGATTGATACTAGAAAAACCTCACGAAGATGAGAAAGAATCAATGAAAAATGCTAAAAACCCAAATGACCAGAGGCCCTTTTCTCCAAATGATCACAATGCTTCTCCAGCAAGGACACAATTGGATGGAGGATGAGATGCACACATTGACAGAAGTAGGCTTCAGAAGGTGGCTAATAACAAACTCTGTTGTGCTAAAGAAGCATGTATTAACCCAACGCAAAGGAGCTAAGAACCTCGATAAAATACTACAGGAGCTGCAAACTAGAATAACCAGTTTAGAGAGGAACATAACTGACCTGATGGAGCTGAAAAGCAGAGCATGAGAACTTTGTGAAGCATACGCAAGTATCATAAATCAACCAAGCAGAAGAGAGGATATCAGAGTTTGAAGACCATCTTGCTGAAATAAGGTATGCAGACAAAACTAGAGAAAAAAGAATAAAAAAGAATAAACAAAACCTCAGAGAAATATGGGACTACATAAAAAGACCAAACCTATGCTTGATTGGAGTACCTGAAAGAGACAGGGAAAATGGAACCAAGTTGGAGAACACACTTCAGGATATTATCCAGGAGAACTTCCCCAACCTAGCAAGACAGGTTGACATTCAAATTCAGGAAATACAGAGAACACCACTAAGATACTCCATGAGAAGACCAACATCAAGACACATAATCATCAGATTCTCCAAGGTCAAAATGAAGGAAAAAAAGTTCAGGGCATCCAGAGAGAAAGACCAGGTGACCTGTAAGGGAAGCCCATCAGACTAACAATGGACTTCTCCACAGAAACCCTACAAACCAGAAGAGAGTGGAGGCCAACATTCAACACTCTTAAAGAAAAGAATTTTTAACCCAGAATTTCATCTGGCCAAACTAAGCTTCATAAGTGAAGGAGAAATAAAATCCTTTCCAGACAAGCAAATGCTGAGGGATTTCATCACTACCAGGTCTGCCTTGGAAGAGCTCCTGAAAGAAGCACTAAATATGGAAAGGAAAAACCAGTACCAGCCACTGCAAAAACACACCAAAATATAAAGACCAATGACACTATGAAGAAACTGCATCAACTAGTGTGCAAAATAACCAGGTAGCATCATGATAACAGGATCAAATTCACACATAACAATATTAATGTTAAATATACATGGGCTAAATGCCCCAATTAGAAGACACAGACTGGAAATTGGATGAAGAGTCAAGACCCATTGGTGTGCTGTATTCAGGAGACCCATCTCACATGCAAAGATACACATAGGCTCAAAATAAATGCATGGAGGAATATTTACCAAGCAAATGGAAAGCAAAAAAAAAAAGCAGGGGTTGCAAACCTTGTCTCTAACAAGACAGGCTTTAAACCAACAAAGATCAGAAAAGACAAAGAAGGGCATTACATAGTGGTAACAGGATCAATGCAACAAGAAGACATAACTCTCCTAAATATATATACACCCAATACAGGAGCAGCCAGATTCATAAAGCAAGTTCTTAGAGACCTACAAAGAGACTTTGACTCGCACACAATAATAGTAGGAGACTTTAACACTCCGCTGTCAATATTAGACAGATCAACAAGACAGAAAATCAACAAGGAGATTCAGGACTTGAACTCAACTCTGGATCAAGTGGACCTAATAGACATCTAAAGAACTCTCCCCCCAGATCAACAGAATATACATTCTTCTCAGTGCCACATGGCACTTATTCTAAAATCGACCACATAATTGGAAGTAAAACACTCCTCAGCAAATGCAAAAGAATGGAAATCATAACAAACTGTCTCTGAGACCACGGTGCAATCAAATTAGAACTCAGGATTAAGAAACCCACTCAAAACCACACAGCTACATGGAAATTGAACAACCTTGGTAAATAATGACTCCTGGGTAAATAATGAAATTAAGGCAGAAATAAATAAGTTCTTTGAAACCAATGAGAACAAAGAGGCAATGTACCAGAATATTTGGGACACAGCTAAAGCAGTGTTAGGAGGGAAATTTATAGAACTAAGTGCCCACATCAGAAAGCTAGAATGATCTCAAATTGGCAACCTAACATCACAATGAAAAGAACTACAGAAGCAAGAGCAAAAAAATCCAAAAGCTAGCAGAAGACAAGAAATAACTAAGATCAGAGCAGAACGGAAGGAGATAGAGACACAAAAAAAATTTCAAAAACTCAATGAATCCAGGAGCTGGTTTTTTGAAAAAATTAACAAAATAGATAGACAGCTAGCTCGACTAATAAAGAAGAAAAGAGAGGGGAATCAAATGGACACAATACAAAATGATAAAGGGGATATCACCCCCGATCCCACAGAAATACAAACTACCATCAGAGAATACTATAAACACCCCTATGCAAATAAGCTAGAAAATCTAGAAGAAATGGATACCAGGACACATACACCCTCCCAAGACTAAACCAGGAAGAAGTCAAATTCCTGAAGACACCAATAACGAGTTCTGAAATTGAGGCAGCAATTAATAGCCTACCAACCAAAAAAAGCCCAGGACCAGATGGATTCACAGCCGAATTCTACCAGAGGTACAAAAAGGAGTTGGTTCCATTCCTTCTGAAACTATTCCAAACAACTGAAAAGGAAGAACTCCTCCCTAACTCATTTAATGAGGCCAGCATCATCCTGATACCAAAACCTGGCAGAGACAAACACAAAAAAGAAAATTTCAGGCCATTATTCCTGATGAACATCAATGTGAAAATCCTCAATAGAATACTGGCAAACTAAATCCAGCAGCACATTGAAAAATGTACCCATCACAATCAAGTCAGCTTCATCCTTGGGCTGCAAGACTGGTTCAACATACACAGATCAATAAACGTAATCCATCACATAAACAGAACCAATGACAAAAACCACATGATTATCTCAATAGATGCAGAAAAGGCCTTCAATAAAATTCAACATCCCTTCATGTTAAAAACTCACAATAAAGTAGGTATTGATAGAACGTATCTCAAAATGGTAAGAGGTATTTACGACAAACCCACAGCCAATATTATACTGAATGGGAAAAAGCTGGAAGCATTCCCTTTGAAAATCGGCACAAGACAATGATGCCCTCTCTCACCACTCCTATTCAACATAGTACTGGAAGTTCTGGCCAGAGCAATCAGGCAAGAGAAAGAAATAAATGGTATTCAAATAAGAAGAGAGAAAGTCAAATTGTCTGTTTGCAGATGACATGATTGTATATTTAGAAAACCCTGTCGTCTGAGCCCCAAAACTCCTTAAGTTGATAAGCAACTTCAGGAAAGTCTCAGGATACCAAATCAATGTGGAAAAATCACAAGCATTCCTATACACCAACAATAGACAAGCAGAGAGCCAAATCATGAATGAACTCTCATTCACAATTGCTACAAAGAGAATAAAATCCCTAAAAATACAGCTAACAAGGGATGTGAAGGAGTTCTTCAAAGAGAACTACAAACAACTGCTCAAGGAAATGAGAGAGGACACAAACAAATGGAAAAACATTCCATCCTCATAGATAGGAAGAATCAATATCATGAAAATGGCCATACTGCCCAAAGTAATTTATAGAATCAATGCTATTCCCATCAAACTACCATTGATTTTCTTCACAGAATTAGAGAAAACTATTTTAAATTTCATATAGAGCCAAAAAAGAGCCCGTATAGCCTAGAGAATCCTAAGCAAAAAGAACAAAATTGGAGACATCACGCTACCTGTCTTCAAACTATACTGCAAGCTTAGAGTAACAAAAACAGCATGGTACTGGTACCAAAACAGACATATAGACCAATGGAACAGAACAGAGACCTCAGAAATAATACCACACATCCACAATCATCTGATCTTTGACATACCTGACAAAAACAAGCAATGGGGAGAGGATTCCCTATTTAATAAATGGTCCTGGGAAAACTGGCTAGCCATATGCAGAAAAATGAAACTAGACCTCTTTCTTACACCTTATACAAAAATTAACTCACGATGGATTAAATACTTAAATGTAAAACCTGAAATTATAAAAACCCTAGAAGAAAACCTAGGCAATACACATTCAGGACATAGGCACATGCAAAGACTTCATGATGAAAATGCCAAAATCAATTGCAGCAAAAGCCAAAATGGACAAATGGTATCTAATTAAACTAAAGAGCATCTACACAGAGACAAACTATCATCAGAGTGAACAGGCACCCTTGAGAGTGGGAGAAAATTTTTGCAATATACTCATCTGACAATGGCCTAATATTCAGAATATACAAGGAACTTAAACAAATTTACAAGAAAAAAACAACCGCATCAAAAAGTAGTCAAAGGATATGATCAGACTAGACACTTCTCAAAAAAAGACATTTATGTGGCCAAAAAACATGAAGAAAAGCTCGACATCACTGATCATTAGAGAACTGCAAATCAAAACCACAATTAGATACCATTTCATGCCAGTCAGGATAGTGATTATTAAAAAGTCAAGAAACAATAGATGCTGGTGAGGCTATGGAGAAATAGAGACACTTTTACACTGGTGGGAATGTAAATTAGTTCAACCATTGTGGAAGACTGTGTGGTGATTCCTCAAGGATCTAGAACCAGAAATACCATTTGACCCAGCAATCCCGTTACTGGGTATATACCCAAAGGAATATAAATCATTCTACTCTAAAGACACATGAACATGTATGTTCATTGCAGCACTATTTACAATAGCAAAGACATGGAATCAACCAAAATGCCCATCAATGAGACTGGATAGAGAAAATGTGGTACATATATACCATATTATGCTATGCAATCATGAAACAGAATAACATCATGTTCTTTTTCAGGGACATGGATGAAGCTGGAAGCCATCATCCTCAGCAAACTAACACGGGAACAGGAAACCAAACACCACATGTTCTCACTCATAAGTGGGAGTTGAACAATGAGAACACATGGACACAGGGAGGGGAACAACACACACCAGGCCAGTCGGGAGCTGGGGGTCGAGGGGAGGGAGGGCATTAGGACATATACCTAATGCGTGTGGGGCTTAAACCTAGATAATGGGTTGATAGGTGCAGCAAACCACCATGGCACATGTACACCTATGTAACAAACCTGCACATTCTGCACTTGTGTCCCAGAACTAAAAGTAAAATAAAAATAAAAAATAAAAATCCAATTTCATTGTATTAATCTATCTACAGCTACTTTAATTTATTTTGATAATTCCCTATGCTCCCACATTTAGATTGTATTTTCAGGATGATTTTAATAAATAGATATTTCCAGTTGAGCCCTATAACTAAACTTTATGAATTGATATATTTTGTAAATTGGTTGAGGTCATCAGAGCAATTCTGTAGTCAGCTGGAACAAGTCCTCATTGGTCCTCTTTATTGCTATTGTCAACAGAATGTTGCATCGAAGTTCAGATTGTTTTAAAGGTATGTAGTAAGCAATGCAACGCCTGTGACCATTTGCCCCAAAGATTACAGATTGCATTCACTATGATCACACATTGTAAGACACGGCTATATACACTTGTTACTCAGAATCAGCTATGTGATGTATCGGTTAAGCTAAAATCTGCAGAAACAAGGTTAGTATAATGAAATTATAATTATCTGGCTAATTGTGATCCCTGATAGTATTAGTTAGGAGAACATAGTTTGGAGAGTGTGATAGATTGTACTTTATTTTGGATTAGAGTTTTGTGCTTGTTGTTGCCAGATTATTGCTCAGGCCTCATTACCAGACATTCCTAGCTACTTTGACTTTCTTTGCCTAGGCAGAATTTACATTTCCTGGGAATCTAACCATTTTTTAAAATTAAATTTTGTTCATTAAAAAAATCACATTTGCTTTTTTAAAAAAGATACCATGACTTTCAAAATTATAGTGTTTTCATATGTATGTAAGTTTTCTAATGGTAGAAGAACACAGTTTTGCAAATATAACCACAGATAGGCAATTTGCTACTCTTTTTTGTTTATATGCAAAGGTGAAATTTTTGAAACTTCCCCCTTGCAAATGAACTCAGAAGTTAGTCGTTAGATATAAATGTATAATTTTCCAGTTTTTCTGCATTCATTCTGATGATAACTTTTGGGAAACCCATATATCTAGCAGTAGCTTTTCAAGCACTGAAAATATACACAGCACTTTAATTCCTTCATATTCAAGTGTCCACTGTATATATAAAATATAATTTAAGACATAGAAATAGGACTTAAGTGAAGCTCCTGCTTAGGACAGGCACTTAACCATCTGGCTCTGAGCTGTGAAACAGGGATAGTGATACTATTTATCTCATATGGTTGTGGTAATGAGTAAATGAGAACTACTTTACAAATGACAAAACTGTAAAGACATTAGTTATCTAAAATTTGTCCTTGGACTCTGAGAATACCTGATGGCCACTGTTGTCCCAGCAAAACTGTGCTCTGCTCTGTTTTTTATCACAGCCACATCCAGTTTCTGTAAATTCCTTGTGCCGATGTAATTCGGTAGAGAGCATCATCTTCACGGTCAAGTATAGCAAGTCAGCCGTAAGAACCTCCTCAGTGAAGAAGTGAGTCTCCTGTGTAAATCAGCACATCTTGTTCATTAACACAGCTCAGGATAAATGGGCCACAGAGCCAAGAGAATGTTGGAAGAGGTCCAGATTGCTTCAAATCCAGATAGATGGAAACAGATTGAGATATGTCTGGAAACCAGAGTCTGCCTACTAAACACTATGTGCTTTCCCAGCAATCACTGATTAGGAAAAAAATAAAAGTTTAATGCCCCTCCACCCACACAGAGAACCCTCAGATGAAGTCAGGCACATCATCTCCCCTTGCTTTACACAGATCACAGGAGCACTCTCAAATAACCAATGCTGCATGCAATTTATTTTCTCTTACCCTCTGTTCTTCTGAATGACACCACTTGGCAGGAGGTTTTGCCACTTTCAGAAGGTTTGGGACCTGAATGGTTAGCAGGCTGCCTCAGTGGAGATTTATCATGTAGAATAATTCATTGAGCCATATGTTCCAATGAATATATACAGAACATTGTAAATACATCCACTGAATTTCTCATTTGCTACCAGAGGGAATCCATCTTTCACATTTTCCAGCAGAGCACTTGACTGCAGATGTTAGAAAATATTTTGCTTTAAGTTTTGTTCTGACTGTTCCCTCTGGTATGATTTACCTGGTTTTTATTTCCTGCAATAGTCTAAGCTCTGTGCCAATATTTCATTTATATATACCGTAAGCACCCTTGGGTATTCTCGGGCTGATTATTTCCACCAAAATAATCTCTCTTGCCATTTGCCTATCTTAACAACAAAATGACAATGTCTCTTATGCCACCTGTTTAGGTACTTGTTTCCATGTGATGCAGAAAAGAATTTGATTATAACTCTGAATTCAAGAAGTGTAACAAAATGCTCTCCTAACTCTTTAAGATCTTTGATGCAGACTCAGTCTTTCTCAGATAGTCCAGTCTGTGTGCTCCTCTGTCTCCACTTTCTAAAACAAGCCTGTGGTAGCTCCCTCTGGATGACATTAACAGCAATACTTTAGCTAGATCTCAACTTAATGTCAGCTGAGAACAACCTCAGTGTCGAAATTTTGATTAGTCACCAGAAGGAGAGACAGTTAATATTGAAGTATGGGTACTTTTAAATGAGTTGGTCTTTGATAGGTTGGGAATTTCATAGACAAGCATAATAAAACAGATAGTCTGGAACTGGGAAGAGAGAGAAGAAGATGGCAGGAAAGAGCAAGGAATAATTGTGTTTGCTTCTATATTTCATAGGGGATCCTGAGGATAGTTTGTGAGCCACTGAAAATCATTTCCTTCTGCCTTTACCATGTGTGTTACAGTTAGTTGCCAAGACATGAATCTGGATGTCGAGACTATTATGAAACCTTAAAAATGGAAAACCATGCTTATATTAATTGATTGTCTCCCTACTAAAAGTTTGTCTAATGTCCTCCACTTCATCAAGCTGCTTCACTGATGGAACATAGCTCCATTTCTATTCAGGATAGAAGAGACTAAATGGAGAAAGATAAAGGAGAATGAACAAATGGAAGGGTAAAACTATACTATGGAGAAAATAAGCCAGTTATCTTCTTTTTCATTTTTATTATGGATTCATAGGGATCTCTCATAACCTATTCACCTTCCTTAATGCCAAGAGCTGTCACTGCCTTGGAGGAAATTGGATTCATGTTTTAAATGAAGAGAAGGGAGACAATGAAGGCAGAGTGTAAATTGGTGGTGGTTGGAAGGACGGCAACTTACATGTGAAAGGTATTTGAATATTCATACCTCATTTCCACCTGCAAGCATGTAATAAAAACTGAGCAATAGAATTAGAAACTAAATGTTTCTCAAGTAGGTATCAATGATAATTTTCTCATGTAGTTAATAAAATACACCTTTTAATCTTTCCTTCTCCCCACTTCCTTCAATTGTCTAATAAAGGAGCATTCCTTCTCATTCATGTGTCCCCTGCAGTAATCTGTTAATACTCCAGGGGAAAATAATGCTTGCTATTGGTTCACTACAATTGTGTGAAGGAAGCTAGTGATGGCAGACACAGCTGCTACCAGAAAAAGGCAGTTTGTTGGCAGCCTGACAGCTGTTGACTGTTTGAGTGTTTAAGCAGCAAGACCCTGAATGCCCTGCAGTAATTCTATAGAAATACTGGAGACTCTCCAAGTTTAAGATGCCATGGCTGTGACTGTCATGCCTGCTTGTGCCTTCTCTTATCAAAGGTAGTTTTACTTATTTTATCCGATCAAGTTAATGTCATTTCTGAGGCAACAACAGGAAGAAAAAGTAATGCACCTTCCAGAAAACCAAATTCAAAATGGCACCTGGCTGTCTGGTACCATGATTGTCCAAAAAGCAAAGTTGCAATTAATGACGCAAGATCAGGAACTTGAAATTTATTTTGTAATCATGCTGCTACATTACTTAAACTAGTTTTAAATGTGCTTTCATCTCTATCTTGAAAAGGCCCAATGCTTAGGGTGAAAATCAAATAAAAACCATTGTAATACATTGTTTATGTTAGAATATCACAAACCTTCAGTCCAGAAATGCTGGATTATTAAATAGGAAAATTTATAATTTTGCAAATTATGAGGAAACTAAGGAAACATGAGATTCTACTTTAGAGTTTGAGATCTAAAATTAAGAAATTGATAGATAATGTCTGTAGCTTTGGTTATAGTAATCTAAAATGAATGGAAAAATATATATGCCTTTCTATAATGTGAGTCTGTTTTACCAATCCCTTATCACTAGATTATGAGTACAACATTTAGTCCTGAGTTGCTAAAATAATATCTTTGTCCTGATTTTGCATTATGCTTCACTTTCTTGTTACATCTAAAGCTGAACTAGCCTTTTTCATGTTATGTTGGTCTCCCTTTTGTATAAAAGATTGCTATGCTAATTGAAAATAATTTTTAGTTTATTTGCATACAATTGGTTAATGTTCAGTCTGTAAAACACATCAACTTCCGTTCCACTAGCTATTTCTGTGTCTGTTGCCACATATAATTGCATGATGCTGGAGAGATGGTTCATTATATGCTCTTAAAAATGCATGTAAATGCCTCCAGAAAAGAACATTTACTGCAGCTGCAATGGGAAAATCATTTTTTTTCTAGCATCCCTGATTTTAGGAGAAAATATGAATAAATTCTAATTAGATTTCTACTTGGGATACTTTACTTGGTTACTCAAAAGACGAATGTTTCCTACAATCAAATATAATACACCTCTCAGTGTAGGACTTGGATTAAAGAGAGCTTTGCATCTTCAGTGATTTTGGTGCATAATTTAATCCCTGTGGGTTACGTGGAGTACCATAGCAAGTACTATTGACTACCCCAAGAGCTTGCCAGTTCTTAAAGCATTAACAGGTTTAAAGAGGTTACAGTATTCAAAAGAGAAATTATAAGCCCATGAAATACTTCTAGTAAAAACTCACAGGATGTGAGTGTGGGAGATGATTGTTAAATGGTGATTAGTCCATCTTGGCTGGAGTATATTCATTTCCTAAAAAAGCATAAGACTTATTTAATAAAAGTGTTACATGACAAGAGAGTGGTCAGAAATGAAGACTCCCAAAACAGGGAAATCTTTTTTTCAAATGCTTGGGTTTGATGAAGAATGGACAGTCGTGTAGATGTATTATTGGACAAAAGGGGTAGAAGCTAATGGTAATAAACTAGGGGCAACTTACCAAGGTCTTGATCCAGTTTGGATGTTTGTCCCCTCCCAATCTTATGTTGAAATGTAATCCCCAGTGTTGGAAGTGGGGCCTAATGAGAGATGTTTGAATCATGGTGTTCCTGGATAAAATTGGGGTCTGGCTGCTTGTTCTCCCAGTCCAATAACAAGATGCAGACAGACTGGGAATGAAGGGAGTTTATTTCTGCAACTGGTTACAAGGAGAAAGTCAGAGTAACTCACCAGACCAACCCAAAGTTACAAGTTTTGTTCTAGTGCTTACATACATTTTAAGCTCCATGCTAGATGTGAGATTGCACCTACAAACAGGAGTGTTTCACTCGATCTATGTCTAATCTTTAACTGGGGTCTGAGGTCTGGAAAGCTTTCTCTAGAGTCTTGGAAAATTTCTTAATCTTAAGACAAAACAAGGTGTGTAAGAATGCTATTATTATTCGATCAGACTTTAGGGTCTGAGAAAACCCGGGTATGGTCTTAATGGGTTTGTTTTGGCATTCCAGCCCTTGTACTCAGGCACCAGTTTCTCCAGTTCTTCAAAGTTTAACTTATGTGTTCATCAAAATTATAGTGAAGGGTTATTGGAAACTGTTCTGGTTGCTAATGGAAACCTGGCCTGCCACCATGGGACTGGATCCTCTGGAATGGCTTAGAGCCCTCCTGACAGTAATGAGTTCACAGGAGTTCTGGTTCTTAAAAGCCCAGCACCTCCTCTTCTTCATCTTGCTTTTCTTCCTCTTCTTCATCTTGCTCCCTCTCTCACCGTGTGACACACTTACTCCCTTTTTGTCTTCCACCATCATTGTAAACTTCCGAGGCCTCACCAGAAGCCGAGCAGATGATGTTGCCATGCTTGTACAGTATGTAGAACTATAAGCCAAATAAACCTCTTTTCTTTATAAATTACCCAGTCTCAGGCATTCTTTTATAGCAATATAAAATGGATTAACACAGGCCTAGTCGTTCAGATTCTTCTTGGCCTCTAAGTATAGTGCAGGGCCTCTCTTGAATGAAGGTCTTATGACCCACTTTCAGGAGAGGTGGGTCAGATAATTCTTTTATGGCTTTTTTTTGGGGAGGGGAAGAAAGATGGGAGAAGGTCAGAGAGTGACCTTTTTAATTGCATTCAGCTTAAAATCGGAGTATATGCATTGACAGGGCTGAAACAACAACAACATAGGATCCTAGATGAGCCTGTGTCATGAGGGACCTGATTTCAGGCTTCATTTAGTAAGTTGGGGAGCCTTTCAGAATTATGGCTAGGAAGATTCACTGGTATGATGTAAACAACAGATTTGATCAGGAGAGGAACTCCAGCCTATCCCTACTCTCAGAGGAGAAGCTATCAATTGGAGGTTTCTGTAAATTAGGACAGAGATGGTAGGAATCTGAGATAGGATAGTCATATTAGGAATAGGTGGTAGAGGATAAATGTAAGAGGAAATGGGAAGGCTTCATTTGAAAGGTTTGACCATTTCCCCATATCCACGGTTTCCAGCATCAGTGATGGAGACTTTAAATGTAAATCTAAAGTTTTCCACCTGTGCTCTTGTGGTGATGTTATTTCTGAAAATAGACAAGAGAACAGTGTGAAGATCTAAAGATAGACGGAAATAAATTTGGTTTTAAAATGCATTATATTTGAAGTTCTAAAAAGAATATCTAGGTAGAAATGTCAAGCCGGCAGCTAGAAATGTTTGTTTAGACTCAGAGGAGAGAACAGAGTTGGAGATATTGATTTGGAAGTAGAAGGTGTAGGAGTGAATGGAATTTTCAGGGAGAAAACAATATTGCTGCCCACATGAGCTATTCACTGGGCTTGGTGGTCATTAAAAGGCATGCTGCGTAGGGTTAGGTCACCATGGTTGGTCAATACCTCATTAGGTAGTGGATCAGTAAGTCAGCCAGGAAGAGTATGGGAATGAGGAAGAGTACACATGTCTATCTCTCGCTGATGCAACCAAATACATTGGTTGAAAAGACATCACCAAATTATTAAAGACAAATATCCACAGTTTTCTTGGCTATTTATTTATGTATTGCTTGTTTGATTATTTTTATAATGCATTGGGTTTTAAAATGAAGAAACTACTGCTTGAACTGTTATTTAGACCATCTTTTTTGGTTCTACACAAATTATGTGGTTCTACACAAACTCTTCAAAATTTTTATTTTCTATCCTCACATTGACTTGGATTATATTTAACTGCATACATAATGAATTTTTAAAAATGACTTTTTAACTTTTTCATATAAAATCTTAAAAATTAAAATTTTAATTTTGAAATTAAAAATTAACAAGTAAATAATTGAGCATTTGATAACTGCCTAATATTCACTCTAGTTGATTATTTAAATCCCCAAATTGTTGAAAGCATGAGATATGTCATAAAATAAATTTTCATTTACTCAGACATCAGTGTTTACTTTAAAAAATGATTTGCATTACTTTTAATTGTAAGACCTCTTTGAGGCTTGAGATAAGGGAATAAATCTAATAATCCATATTTCCTCATTTCAGAAGAGTCAAACATATGCAAGACACAACTTTTTTAATAACGGATTTTGCAGAGCTACTCAGTGTAAAAACAAAATTCTGTCTAAACTTTTTCAGTTAAATGGCAGGAATTAAATATAAACAGACTGGCATTTCTGTATTTAGTCACTAAGCTAAATTGAGATTTGAGGCTTCATAAAGTGGTAAAAACAAAACAAACAAATAAAAATCCTTTCTCATCTCAAAACTTTATTTGTATCATTTTTGACACTTAAAAAAATTTCAGGCTTAATGCTTTGGCTTTTTCTCGCCTAAGCAAGTGCCTTTGGGATGAACATTTGTGTGCTGTGCTAAATAAAAACCAAACACAAAGTTGATGAACAGTGTTCTTACATAAGAGTTATGCTTGGCCGGGTGCAGTGGCTCATGCCTGTAATTCCAGCACTTTAGGAGGCCGAGGTGGGTGGATCATCTGAAGTCAGGAGTTTGAGACCAGCCTGGCCAACATGGTAAAACCCCATCTCTACTAAAAATACAAAAAAAAAAAAAAAAAAAAGAAATCAGCTGGGTGTGGTGGCAGGTGCCTGTACTCCCAGCTGCTTGGGAGGCTGAGGCAGGAAAGTAGCTTGAACCCAGGAGGCAGAGGTTGCAGTGAATAAGCTGAGATAGCGCCACTGCACTCCAGCCTGGGTGACAGAGCGAGCCTTTGTCTAAAAAACGAAAACAAAAACAAAAACAAACAAACAAAGAGTTATTCTTCTGTAGCCCCAATGCTGGGTATCGGTTCTTGTCTGTTGGCATGTGCTTAGCAACCTGCTTAAAGTTAGGTGGTGATTGTAGGTAACCTTAAGGAAGGTTTTCATTGCCACTAAGAAGGAGAAATGGTAATTGTATAAGTGGTCTTCTCTTCAAAAGTTCAGAATTGAAGTTACATTCTATAAGACATGAAGGGTTTTGACATATTGATGCTAAACACTTATGTTAGTAATATTATGCCTTCTGGTCTGGGGATTTATACTATGTCCTTATGTGTTTCTTTTCAGCTTTCCATTTTAAGCTATGGTGTAACTGGAAAGTTGCTCTTAAAAAGACTTTGAGCACAATACCGTACTCTCCACACGTGAATCAATCTGTTATTGTACATAAAATGTTATCAAGTGGCTTGGCAAATAGGCTCTTGGAAGAAAAGCCCTACTTTAACCAGGATTACTGGCAGGAAAGCTCACTAAATACTGGAAATAACTGGGCTTTTACTTTTCTACCATAATATCTGTAACTAAATGCTTTCAAACATTATAAAAATAAAATTATTCAGAGATATCAAAGTAGTATCATTAATCTATTGTTTAATGTGATACTTTTGGTTATCTTGTTATATTTTAAATATGAATTATTTTGTCATATATCCTGTTGCATAGATTAAAACAGGCATAACAATCTTAGAAATTTCCATTCTTCATCATCTTTTGTAAGGGAAAGAAAAGATGTGTTTACATCTGAAGAAATCATTCAAGATTTAGTATAATGTATACAGATATTTACATGATTTATAATGGAAAATCTTTCTGTTTTTGTACTCTTACTTGTAAGGGACTAAATAGAAAATAGTATATATTTAGAGGAACTTTGCTAATAATATATTTACTCATGACACAGTATTGACCTGCCAGTGTTTTTATTTTTTATTTTTTTTATTTTTTGAGATAGAGTTTCATTCCATCACCGAGGCTGGAGTGCAGTGGCGAGATCTCTGCTCACTGCAACCTCCGCCTCCCCAGTTCAAGTAATTCTCATTCCTCAGCCACCCGAGTAGCTGGAGTTACAGGTGTGCCCCACCACACCCAGCTAATTTCTGTATTTTTAGTAGAGATGGTGTAACGCTTAAGGTTTTTGCCTAGCCACGCCAAAAAGGTGGTGTGGTGGCTGACTGCAGCGAGTGATAGAGACACGGACCGATAGAGAGGAAAAGCTGTAGGCTTTATTGAGCAGAGTGAAAGTACAAAGCTTCCACAGCATAGAAGAGGTCCCGAACGGGTAGCCACTGCTGGTTTTGGGCGATTGCCTTTTAAACTCTTTAAGGCGGGAAACACGTGCAGCGGGAAGATGTTACCAGAGTGGGAAACAAAGGCAGTAAATTATTTTGTGACATGTCTTAGATTTTGAGGAAAAACCGGAATTGCAACTTAGGTTTAATTTACTTTACGACCTTGCAGTGGCATGGCAAAGGAGACAGGATCTTACAGGACTTTACAAAGTATGTTTACAAGGAATTGGAATTGGGAGCATAGATAAGGTCCACTGGTCACAGAAAAACGGGCAGTTACCATTCCTTTTACTTTAGTTTCGGGGAGGGGGAAGGGAGAGAGGGAGAGAGGACACAGGGAAATTTACAGCAAAATTTTTGCTGTTTATAGCTTTCTTGGGGAAGAAAACACATGCACAAATCCTGGTTTAAGCATATATCTTCAACATTATCCATCCAGGACTGAAGTCAGTCCTGATGCAGGAAATGAGTGAGTTTCACAGCTTTCTGAGCCCCTACTCGACCCAGGAAGCCCAGCTGGCCCCTCCTCTCAATAGGGTTTCACCATATTGGCCAGGCTGGTCTCAAACTCCTGCCCTCAAGTGATTTCCCACCTCAGCCTCCCAAAGTGCTGGCTTGACAGGTGTGAGCCACTGCACCCAGCCTGACCTGTCAATATTTAAAATAAAACCATGTTCGACCATTTTTAAATTACTAATGTCTGCAGTAAAATATAAAAGATAGTAATTTACTATCTTATAATGCAGGATTATTTTTCAGATTTGCTTTCATATTCATAGCACCACTGTGAATTCTGACATGAATGAAATTTCAACCTTGATAATTTGAATTAATCAACACAAGCTGTTGGGTTTGGGACAAAATGTTTGTATTTTCTCATTTGCTATTTACGTGTAAAACTCACTTCAGCCACTGCTTGGCTTCCATGAAAGCAGAGCATGAGACATGAAACGGAGCCTAGAATGTAGAAAACTGATATACAGGGAGCAAGAGGGAAGGGCAAGAGGAGTGAAACAGGAAGGGAGGACAGCACAAGGTGCATTATGGACTTGATCACAACGAGAGGTGACATTGCTCTTATAGGACTTGCTGAGGGTTCTGTGACATGGGTCTCAGAACCCTATGAGAGACCAAATGAGAGAGCATTTATCTATTGGTTCTTATTCCTTGAGTTCACGGACAAAGATGAATTACCTTGCATTTCTAGGTTGGACCTGTGTTGAGTGTCAATGGAATCTTATAGTCCAAAGAACCCTGAGGCATAAAGAAAGAGATATATTATATAATAAGTGGGTGCTGTTAGGTTGCATTAGTGGGGAGCTGGTCAAATACTGCTTGGAACTGAACTCTAAGGCAGGATCTGGAGTAAGAGGTAAAGCCCAAAAGATTTAAGTGGTGTATAAGAGATGTTTGCTATGGCTATTTAGAATCTATAACTGATATTGTGACTTCATTACCTGCTTGAGTTATATACATAAAAATCTAGTGAAAAGGTTCATATAAACCATTTTATCGTATTCTTGCATTTTCTCTGTTGTTCCCTCCTTTAAAGTGGACAATCCCACTTCTGACTCTCAACTTTTGTTTATGGGACTGGTCTAGCTGTAAATCTGGTTGTCATCATGCCTCCATATCTAATTATTCACTAAGTATTGAAGATTTAAAGTACAAAATATTATCTATATCTATCCTCTCTCTGTTATCTCTATTAACATAGCTTGGGGCATCTTCTTTCTCTATGATGATCTCGGGCAATTAGCCATATAAAATCATTTATACTCTGTTAGCACCCCTTGGCAACTCACCATGATTAGTGGGGGAACTATAACCTGTTTAGGGTATTTAATTGAACAATATGATTATTAGACTGTGAAGAAATCTGTTGGGTTATGGGGAACTGGCAGGGTTGGAGAAGGTGAGTGAAAGAAAGAGGGTATGGAAGATGATTCTTATTGCAGCATATTAGGAAATTTGCAAAGGCATATACTTGATAATGATCCCCTTCTCCAATGAAACCAGCAACTATATATAGCCTATATGTGAATTTTTCATTTCTGTGTATTGATTATCATTCAAACAGATGGTAAATAACTTTTGAGGACCAAAATGTTTAGAGTATGAAGAGACCAACATGAATATTATGGTATCTACCAATGGCATTTTGAGTACATCAGTTGGAAATATGTATAATATTCTTTTTTTCTTTGTTTGAGACAGAGTCTCACTCTGTTACCCAGGCTGGAGTGCAGTGGCATAAACTCAGCTCACTGCAACCTCTGCCTCCCGGGTTCATGGGATTCTCATGCCTCAGCTTCCCAAGTAGCTGGGATTACCAGTGCCCGCCACTCACCTGGCTAATTTTTGTGTTTTTAGTAGGGGTTTCGCCATGTTGGCTAGGCTGGTCTTGAACTCCTGGCCTCAAATGATCCTCCCACCTTCACCTCCCAAAGTGCTGGGATTACAGGTGTAAGCCACTGTGGCCGGCTGGAAATATGTATAATATTCTTAAAAATAATTCTGTCTATTTTATTGGAGATAAAAATGGTAGCCATTTTGCTGGGGATGGTGGCTGATGCCTGTAATCTCAGTGCTTTGGGAGGCTGAGGCCAAGAGTTCAAGATTAGCCTGGGCAACATAGTGAGACCCCATCTCTACAAAAAATAAAAAAAATTAGCTGGGCATGGTGGTGCATGCCTGTAGTCCTAGCTACTCCAAAGGCTGAAGTGGGAGGATTGCTTGAGTCCAAGAGTTTGAGGCTGCAGTGATCTATGATTGTACGATTGCAATCCAGCCTGGGTGACAGAATAAGATAGAGTCTCTATAAACAAACAAACAAACAAACAAAAAAGAGTACTAATTTCACAGGATTATTCTGAGGATCAAGTGATTAAATGAGGTAATATATGAAAAATACCTGTAACAGTGTTTGGCACATAGTACATGTTCAATAAATGCTTATTATTGTTATCATTATTAAAATATCTTTTGTCCTATTTTAACTACATATTTAAGATTTTCCAAGTTTTATCCCATTGGATAAGAACATAGAAATTTGAGAGCTAACTACGGGAGTCTTAAAAATATCTTCCTCTTTTTCCTTCAAATGTGTAACTGTTGTCTAAAGTAGTTCTTTGTGCATAAATGTGTTGCGGGGAGTAGTGCTTAGAGAACTATCTACTATTTAATTAATTAAACTTTAAAGGAATTTTCTCTACTTTCTTTATTTCAGAACTCAAAATTATTTTCTACAGCAATTGCCCAATCCACTGTGGGCATCCTAATGACCAAATTATAAAGCAAGAGTCTTAAGTTCTGGGGGTGGGGGGGCAGGCATAGAGATTCTCTTTTTCTTCTATGTCTTTTTAAAAATTGGAGTATTGCATGCCTAAGTTATGAGAAATTCTCTTTATATTTTCTAATTTGTTGATCTAATTATTTTCTGATTATACATAATGCTGGTGGAAATAAATACCTCAGTTCTCAAATAGCATTAATTCTTTGGAGAAACAATTTTGTAGTAGTCGCAGTAGAAAGATAGAAGGGAACTATTGAACTTGTTATTTTCTTCAAGACTGAGAACCTACCTTTCTGCCAGTATGTGACTCAACTTGTTCTATTTAAGGTAAGTTGCTTTTGGTTTTCTTTGGTTAGGAGAGGGGAAGAGGGGCTGTAATCACACTTTGTTGCTCAGTGCCACTTCTACAGTCTTTTCATTGGCAGGAGAATCTAATACAATGGAGATGTCAATCAATGCACATCTTTGACTAAAAAGCTCCCCTTGAAAACCAGATAACAGCGAATGCTTCAGACTAACAGTCTTCTTTACTTACGAGCAGACTGCACAGGGTGATCACCAAGGGTTTTGTATGAAAAGCCTTGCACCCTTAGTGCATCCAGCTAGGGGATAATTCTGAAGTGGAATTTAGTAGAAACCATATGAAACATCACAAAAGATGCCACACAGGCAGCTCGATGGAACATAATATGTCACTCACTACTGACTGTATTACCTCCTGCCTGTCCACTCAACACAGGAGCCCAAACAAATAAACCTGTGCTTAACTAAGAGAAAGAGATTTCTTGTTTTCTTCTTTTACAATGTATGCAACATCAGTAAACAATGAGTACATGCTAGGAGAAACATATGAAATAACATTATTTGTCATTAGTACATTTCTGACAATGACATTGACTTAAAGACTTTCAATAATAATTTGAAGTAGTTCAAGGCAGTGAAGCTTCTGCAGTGGAGACTACAGTCTCCACTGCAGAAGCTTCACATTGGTTCCATTACTGTTAACGGGATTCGTGAGTGTTTTTCCATACAAATTATTTGAACAGTTTACCCCACAGAGTCTTGCACACTGTGGAAACAGGAGATCACTGGTAAAGCAGAATCTGGAAATGAAAGTTAACATGAAGAAATCCATATTTTGATAGGAAAGCAACTTGGGGACAAAATAGCATTCTGAGCTGCAGAAATGTGGATAATCAAATGGATCTTTGATCTCTTAAATATCTTGGGCTTGATCATTATCAGATAGTCTTTGATATTGCCCACCAGAATGAGATATTAGCCCCATAAAAACAAAACAAAGCAAAGCATAGCAAAACAAACAAACATAAAACACAGAGTAGTATAGAATGCTGTTCTTGGCATGCAGGCGGAAGTAAGAACTAGATGTTTGCTACTTTTATGAAAATTTAAACTGAGAGGTATAACCAAAATAATTTTTTAATACAAATTTGTTAAAAATCAAGAAGTAAAAAGAAAACAGCAAGAAAAAATGACTCCAAATGTCAATTTTAGGTTGTTTTAAATTTTTTATAAAATAATTGATCCTTTAGTCAAGCATCAAAAAAATTCTACGTATTGACTGTATTAATATTTAATTTCAAAACACTTTTATTTAAACATTGGACTCTTTTTGGAGATTATCGAATGTTTTCTTTTCATTCCTTATATTTCTATTCAGTTAAAGCACCCATACATCTCCTGAATTATTTTTGGTAAATAATGTTATTTGTACTGGGTTGAATAGCATCTTCCCAAAATTCATGTTCACCTGGAACGTGTAAACATGATCTAATTTGGAAATAGGATCTTTGCAGTTGTAATCATGTTAAAATGAAGTTATACTGAATTCGGGTGGGTCTCAAATCCAATATGATGGGTGTTCTTACAAGAAAAGAAAAATCTGGATACAGTGACACAGGCACATGAAGAGGAGAACAACGTATTGTGACAGAGGCCGATGAGAATGATGCATGTCTAAGGCAAGGAACACCAAGAATTACTGGCAACCACCTGAACGAGGAGAAAGGCACAGAACAGATTTTCTCTGAAAGCAGTCAAAAAGAAACCAATCCTGCAGACACTTGATTTTAGACTTTTAGCCTCCAGAACTATGAGGGAGTAAATTTCTGTTGTTTTGAGCTACTCAGTTTTTGGTACTTTATTATGAGAGCTCTAGGAAAATAATAACATACAATAAATACAGTTGTATTTTGCAACTTATTGGGAAAAGTTTCCGCTATCATTTTATTCTTATTAAAAACTTTTCATTTCAATTTTGCCTGCTGACTCTACTTTTGTTTTTGTTGAGTTGGATTTCAATATAATTCCTACTCTGAAAGTAGGAAGAGAAATCAGTGCCAGTTCTTCAAGGACCATTACAAGAGTAGAGTGAAACACACAAATTAAGCCAGAAATTAAGAAGAAAAATACAAAAAGAAGTACGAACCCACAACCTGGGAATCAGGCTCAGAAGGGAATAGATGCTGTTGTGAAAGCACCACACACCTTACTTAGTCTTGCTGTCTGGACCTTCCTCTGCCTCTCAGTCTTCAGCACTAAGCATAAGTATTACCACCTTTTTACCATGAGACCAAGGGACCAGTTCTATATTTTACATTTCTAATTCATGTAATAATGTGGAAATAAGAATAAGGAATGGTAAAACAACTTTACTTAAAAATTTCATAACTATTTAAACAGAGCAAGTCCACATTTTTATTTCATGTTTTCTGGCTTTTGAAGATATATTAGTCTGAAATGAACCCTGTTCTCTGAATGAAACTAATAGCTGTCAGTTGTCATGTCTGTACTTGGAACACATTCATCTTCTAAATACTGGTTTCAGATTTTAAATATATCTTAGGTAGATCCTAGTTTATCATCATAACTGGTTCTTCTTGCACTTGCATGACCAAAATGCATTACTTGACAAAACTTTTGAAATACTAACATCTTATAATTTTGTTGAAGATGACCATCTTCTGTGTTCCCTAATTACAGAACATTTTTATTTCTAGGTTTATAAACACAAATTATGATGATTAATTTAATTTGATTTTCATTTGACATCACTTATTTCCCTCTAGTTACTTATGTGTACCCATATACTTTCAGCATCTGTCTACTTAGGAACCTTACGATTGCAAAAGATGAAAGGATATGGTCACATGTTTTTTTAGCCAAACAGTATAGTCCAAGTTCCTGTCTTTAACTATTACATTACAAAGTTCTTTGTTAAATGACTAAGTGAATAAGAATACTAGATTTATTTCTCTTTTGTTCTTAAAATATTGTTCATCTGTCAATCTTGAATTTGAGGCAATTCATATAGGATATTGTCATCTGAAGACACATAGTCTGAGATTTCACTTATACCATCAATTTCATTATCATCATTCTAGTCTAGAATGCTGCAGTTCATCACTTTGTATTCATCTTCTGATTTACCTAATAAACGTGAATCATTATCTTCTGACAATTTTCTTCTCTTTGTCAGTATGACGAGAAAACAAAATTTCTGCATTCTCAACTGTCTTCAATGAAACCTTAAAGCAGTCTACAAAGATTGTATCTCCAGCCTCCTTTCATCATTCTTTTTAGAAGTTAATGATGTAAAATTTTGGTCAACTCAGTGTGAAAATTGAAAGATGATGCAATAGTAATGATTTACTTCAATGTTGCATCATCATTTTTAGATGATTCCAACATTTTTCTGTCTTATTATTTAGTCTTTCTTAGCATTGCTGGGAATAATCAATGATAATTGATGAAACAATTCTTAGAATGATGAAATAGCAAATTGTTTCAAGATACAAAGTATCTTAGATTTATAAAAAGTTTCAATTCACTTATATTGTAATTGTGAGATAGAATGGATTTTATTCAATTAAAAAATAAGTAAATTTAATTTTGTTCATTGATAGACCTTTAATAAAAATTAAAAGAATAGATGTCATGAAATATCAATCCTTATAAATTGTTAGTCATTCTCATCAAGGAAAATAAAAAACTAAAATTGAGTCCAGAGGACTCTGATGATATACCAAGGATTAAGTGAGTGAAGATAAGGGGCCACTAGATACATGTTTCAATAGATGGTGAAAAAGGGGTTAAACATATTTTCCTTAGGAATGTTCACTTAGATATTCCAGACAAAAAAGAATCCCCCATGATATGTTCTTTCAAAAATTATTTTTCTTCTTCTTCTTATTTTTATTTCAATAGTTTTTTGGGAACAGGTGATTTTTGGTTACATGGATAAGTTCTTTTGTGGTAATTTCTGAGATTTTGCTGCACCCATCACCTGAGCAGTGTACACTGTACCCAATGTGTAGTCTTTTATCCCTCACCCCCTCCCACCCTTCGCCCCGAGTCCCCAAAGTCCATTATATCCTTCTTATGCCTTTGTATCCTCATAGCTTAGCTCCCACTTATATGTGAGAACAAACGATATTTGCTTTTCCATTCCTGGGTTACTTCACTTAGAATGATAGTCCCCAGCACCATCCAGGTTGCTGCAAATGACATTATTTTGTTTCTTTTTATGACTGAGTAGCATTCCATTGTGTATATATACCACATTTTCTTTATCCACTTGTTGGTTGATGGGCATTTACGCTGATTCCATATTTTTGCAATAGTGAATTGTGTTGTTACAAACGTGTGTGTAAGTGTCTTTTTCATATAATGACTTCCTTTCCTCTGGGTAGATACCCAATAGTGGGATTGCTGGATCAAATGGTGGTTCTACTTTTAATTCTTTCAGGAATCTCCACACTCTTTTCTATAGTGGTTGTATTAGTTTACATTTCCCACCAGTGGTGTAAAAGTGATCTCTTTTTCTTTCTTTCTTTTTTTTTTTAAAGATAGAGTCTTGCTCTGTCGCCCAGGCTGGAGTGCAGTGATACCATCTTGGGTCACTGCAACCTGTGCCTCCCAGGTACAAGCAATTCTTGTGCCTCAGCCTCCTGAGAAGCTGGAATTACAGGCGTGCGCCACCGTGCCTGGCTGTGTTGTATTTTTTTGTAGAGATGGGGTTTCACCATGTTGGCCAGTCTGGTCTCAAACTCCTGGACTCAAGTGATCCATCTGCCTTGGCCTCCCAAAATAGTGGGATTACAGGTGTGAGCCACTGAGCCTGGCCTAAAGTGTTCCCTTTTCACCACATCCATGCCAACATCTATTATTTTTTTGATTTTTAAATTATGGCCATTCTTTCAGGAGTAAGGTGGTATTGCACTGTGGTTTTGATTTGCATTTCTCTAATAATTAGTGATGCTGAGCATTTTTTCACATATTTGTTAGCCATTTGTATGTCTTGTTTTGAGAATTTATTCACGTCCTTTACCCAGTTTTAGATGAAATTATTTGTTTTGTTCTTGCTGATTTGTTTGTGTTCCTTGTAGGTTCTGGATATTAGTCCTTTGTCAGATGCAGAGTTTACAGATATTTTCTCCCATTCTGTGGGTTGTCTGTTCACTCTGCTGATTATTTCTTTGGCTGTGCAGAAGCTTTTCAGTTAATTAGGTTCCAGCAATTTGTTTTTGTTTTTGTTGCATTTGCTTTTGGGCTCTTGGTCATGAACTCTTCCTAACCCAACATCTAGAAGAGTTTTTCTGATGTTATCTTCTAGAACTTTTATTGTTTCAGGTTGTAGATTTAGGTATTTGATCCATATTGAGTTGATTTTTGTATAAAATGAGAGATGACAATCCAGTTTCATTATTCTACATGTGGCTTGCCAATTATCTCAGCACCATTTGTTGAATAGGGTGTCCTTTTCCCACTTCATGTTTTTGTTTGCTTTGTTAAACATCGGTTGACGGTAAGTATTTGGCTTTATTTCTGGATTCTCAATTCTGTTCCCTTGGTTGATGTGCCTATTTTTATACCAGTACCATGATGTTTTGGTAATAATAGCCTTGTAGTATAGTTTGAAGTTGGGTAATGTGATCCCCCCAGATTTCTTTTTTCTTAGTCTTTCTTTGCTTATGTGGGCTGTTTTTTTGGTGTCATATGAATTTTAGGATTTTTTTCTAGTTCTTTGAAGAATGATGATGGTACTTTGATGGGAATTGCATCGAATCTGTAGATTGTTTTTGGCACTATGGTCATTTTCACAATATTAATTCTACTCATCCATGAGCATGGGATGTGTTTCCATTTGTTTGTGTCATTGATGATTTCTTTCAGCAGTGTTTCATGGTTTTCCTTGTAGAGATCTCTCACCTCCATGGTTAGGTATATTCCTAAATATTTTTATTTTTGCAGCTGTTGTACAGGGATTGAGTTCTTGATTTGTTTCTCAGCTTGGTTGTTGGTGTATAGCAGTGCTACAGTATGTGTACATTGGTTTTGTATTCTGAAACTTTACTGAATTATCAGATGTAGGAGTTTTTTGGATGACTCTTTAGGGTTTTCTAGGTATACAATCATATCATTGGCAAACAGAGTTTGACTTCTTTTCTACCAGTTTGGATGCCCTTTATTTATTTCTCTTGTCTGATTGCTCTGGCTAGGACTTCCAGTACTATGTTGAATAAAAGTGGTGAAAGTGGGCATCCTTGTTTTGTTCCACTTCTCAGGGAGAATGCTTTTAATTTTTCCCTGTTCAGTATAATATTGGCTGTGGGTTTGTCATAGATGGCTTTTGTTACCTTAAAGTATATTTCTTCTATGCCATTTTTGCTGAGGGTTTTAATCATAAAGGGATGCTGGATTTTGTCAAATGCTTTTTCTGTGTCTATTGAGATGATTATGTGATTTTTGTTTTTAATTCTGTTTATGTGGTATATCACATTTACTGATTTGTGTAAACCATCCCTGCATGTCTGGTATGAAATCCTCTTGATCATGGTGTATTATCTTTTTGATATGCTGTTGGATTTGGTTAGCTAGTATTTTGTTAAGGATTTTAGCATCTATGTTCATCAGGGATGTTGGTCTGTAGTTTTCTTTTTATTTTGTTGTTATGTCCCTTCCTGGTTTTGGTATTAGGATAATACTGGCTTCATACAACAATTTAGGGAGAATTCCCTATTTCTATATATTTTGGAATAGTTTCAGTAAGATTGGTACTAATTCTTTGAACATATGATAGAATTTAGCTGTGAATCCATCTGGTCCTGAACTTTTTTTTTCTTGGCAATTTTTTAAATTGCTGTTTCAACCTTGCTATTTGTTATTGGTCTGTTCAAAGTTTCTGTTTCTTCCTGATTTAATCTAGGAGGGTTTTATATTTCCAGGAATTTATTTATCTCCTCTAGGTTTTCTAGTTTGTGTGCATAAAGGTGTTCATAGTAGACTTGAACAATCTTTTGTATTTCTGTGGTATCGGTCATAATATCTCCTGTTTTGTTTCTAATTGAGCCCATTTAGATATTTTCTCTTCTTTTCTTGGTTAGTCCCATATGGTCTATCAATTTTGTTGATTATTTCAAATAACCAGGTTTTTACTTCACTTATTTTTTGTATTTTTTTGGTTTCAATTTTATTTATTTGTGCTCTGATCTTTGTTTCTTTTCTTCTGTTGGGTTTTGGTTTGGTTTGTTTCTCTAGTCCCTTGAGGTATGACCTTAGATGTCTCTTTGTGCTCTTTCAGACTTTTTGGTATAAGCATTTGATGCTATAAACTTTCCTCTTAGCACTGCTTTTGCTGTATCCTAGAGGTTTTGATAGCTTGTGTCAATATTATTGTTCAGCACAATTTTTTTTAATCTCCATCTCGATTTCACTGTTGACCCAAAGATCAGTTGGGAGCAGATTATTTAACTTCCATTTATTAGTATAGTTTTGAGGGTTCCTTTGGGGTCAATTTCCAGTTTTATTCCACTGTGGTCTGAGAGGACACTTGATATAATTTCAGTTTTATTAAATTTGTTCAGACTTGTTGTGTAACCTATCATATGGTCTACCTTGGAGAATGTTCTATGTGCTGAAGAAAAGACTGTATATTCTTCAGTTGTTTGCTAGAGTATTCTGTAAACATCTGGTAAGTCCATTTGTTCTAGGGTATAGTTTAAGTCCATTGTTTCTTTGTTGACTTTCTGTCTTAATGTTCTGTCTAGTGCTGTCAGTAAAATACTGAAGTTCCTCACTATTGTTGTTGTCATCTGTGTCATTTCTTAATTGTTTCATAAATTTGGGAGCTCCAGTGTTAGGTGTATACTTATTTAGGATTGTGATATTTTCTTGTTTGACTAATCCTTTTATCATTATGTAATGTCCCTCTTTGTCTTTTTTGCTGTTTTTGTCTGTTTTGAAGTCTGTTATTGTCTGATATAAGAATAGCTACTACTGGTTGCTTTTGGTTTCCATTTGTGTGGAATATCTTTTTCCACCCCTTTATCTTAAGCTTACGTGAGTCCTTATGTGTTAGGTGGGTCTCTTGAAGCTATTAGACACTAGGTTGGTGGATTTTTATCCATTCTGTCATTTACATTCAAACTTAGTATTGAGATGTGAGGTACTCGTCTATTCATCATGCTAGTTGTTGTCTTGATACCTTGTTTTATTGTGTGTATATGTGTGTGTTATTGTTCTATAGGTGAGATTTATGCTTTAAGGAGGTTCTATTTTAATGTATTCTGAGGTGTTGTTTCAAGATTTAGAACTCCCTTTAGCATTTATTGTAGTGCTGGCTTAGTAGTGCAAATTCTCAGCATTTGTTTGTCTGAAAAAGACTCTCTTTCATTTATGAAGCTTAGTTTTTCTGGATACAAAATTATTGACTGACAATTATTTTGTTTCAGGAGGCTAACGATGAGGCCCTGATTCCTTCTCACTTCTAAGGTTTCTGCTGAGAAATCTACTGTTAATCTGATAGGCTTTCCTTTAGAGGTCATCTGATGCTTTTGCCTTGCAAGTCTTAAGATTATTTCCTTCATCTTGACTTTACATAATCTGATGACTGTGTACCTGGGTGATAATCTTTTTTTGATGAATTTCTCAGGTGCTCTTTGAGGTTCTTGTATTTGGATGTCTAGACCTCTAGCAAGGCCAGGGAAATTTTCCTCAATTACTTCATCAAATAAGTTTTTTAAACTTTTAGATTTCTCTTCTACCTTGGGAACACCAATTATTCTTAAGTTTGGCTGTTTAACATAGTGCCAAATTTTTTGAAGGCTGTGTTCATTTTTTTGACTCTTTTTTCTTTATCTTTGTCTGACTGGGTTCATTTGAAAGCCTTGTCTTCGAGCTCTGAGGTTCTTTCTTCTACTTGTTCTAGTCTATTGTTGAAACTTTCCACTGCATTTTGTATTTCTCTAAGTGTGTCTTTCATTTCCAGAAGTTGTGATTGCTTTTTCTTTATGATATCTATTCCTCTGGAGTGTTTTTCATTCATATCCTGTATTGTTTTTTAAATTTGTTTAAGTTGTTTTCCACCATTCTCTAGTATCTCCTTGAATAGCTTAATAATTGACCTTCCGAATTCTTTACGTGGCAATTCAGAGATTTCTTCTTAGTTTGGATCCATTGCTAGGGAGCTGGTGTGATCTTTGGGGTGTGTTATAGAACCCTGTTTTGTCATGTTACCAGAATTGCTTTTCTGGTTCCTTCTTATCTATGTAGGCTATTTCAGTAGAGAGGTCTGAAACTCAAGGCCTGCTGTACAAATTCTCATGTCCCATAAGGTGATCCCTTGATGTGCTCTTCCCCTTCCCCTAGGAATGTGACGTCGTGCAAGCCAGACTGCAGTAATTGTTATTGCTCTTTCGGGTCCAGCCACCCAGCAGGGCTACCAGGCTCTGGGCTGGTGCTAAGGAATGTCTGCAAAGAGTCCTGTGATGTTATCCGTCTTCAGGTCTCCCAGCTGTGGATACCAGCATCTGCTCTGGTGGAGGTGGCAAAGGAATGGTGTAGACTCTGTAAGAGTCTTTAGTTATAGTTTTGTTTGGTGTGCTGGTTATGCTAACAGTGATATTGTTGTGTGGACAGACTCAGGACCTCTGGTTAGCCAGTATGTTGAAGGTGGTGTGATTAGATGTTATTTTCTTTTTCCTGGGATCAGTATTATTCTGTCGTGAGTTGCTGTAATGGCCTGAGTTCATTGGCCTCCAGTGGCACTGTCGTGAGTGCACCAGCTGTAGTAGTAGTAGTAGAAGGATCTAAGCTTGCCTTAAATTGGCCAGGATAAGTATTTTGTTTTCTCAGGTGATGGGCAGGGCCATAAAGCTCCCAAAAATTTCTGTCTTTTTTGTTCAGCTACAAGAATGGGTAGAGAAATACCATCAGGTGGGGGCAGGGTTAGGGAGGTCCGGGCTCACGCTTTCCTTTGGCAGGGCTTGCTGTGGCCACTGGGCTGGGCGGTGGTTCTCAGGCTAATGGGATCAGTTCCAGAGGGGATCTTTGCTGCCTCTCCTATGTCATATAGTTTGCCATGGTAGTAGAGGATAGCTGGTAGTGAGAGGTTTCAACACAGTTGGTGGGGCTGGTCTCTCCTTCAGTGCCCCTACTCAGACCTTGCCCCAGGCCATGAGCTTCCCTGCTGAGAAAGCAAGCGTGGCTTTTAGACATCACCTTCCCCTATCTGCCTACTCTACTGGTGGCTCCTGCGTGCTTGATCTCATATCTGCAGCAGCTCCTGCTCATTCCCCGCACTCCACTCAAGAAAATTTGTGCCCAGTCAAAACTACTACCAATTTCAATCAGAAGCTTCCTTTGCCCTGCAATTTCTTTCCAATTCAACTGGCTGCCTTCCCCATGGGCCCTTGTGAGTTGTAGTCAGGAATGGCTTCCCTGGGTTTGAGCTGGAGACTGGGAGTCCCTGAAAGCACTTCCTGCTGCTACTTCTACTTTTATATTTCATGCCACTCCCTAAATTCATTTCAGCTCTATGTAAGTTTAAATCATTCTTTTGTGATCTAGACTTTCAGATTCCCCAGTGGGGCTGTGTGTTCAGAGGCATGTTTCCCCCAATCACAGTTTGAGAACTCATGGTTTTTCACCTGTTTTGCAGAATTTGCAGTGGCACACTGCTTCTTTCAAAAGATCTGTGAATTCTTTTGTTTTTCCTGGTATGTTCTTGCAATGATTTTTGAAGCAAAAGATCATGGTGTGAGTCTCCACGTGCTTTTCTGTTCATCTAAGTGGGAGCTGCATGTTAGCTCTGTCTCTTATCCCCCATCTTGTTCTCCAGGAAATATTCTTATATCATCATGTACTTCTTAGTAGCAGCAATCACAATTATTATTATTTATTTTGCTAATACCTCTATACTCTATTAATTTGCAAACTTTATGAGGGTAAAAATTTTATCATGGGTTCAGGCTGATATTCTCAAATTCCTATTGCAGAACTTGGCTCATAGACATTCTTCAGTACTGTTGGTAAATAAAAGGAAAAACTCTACAGGTCATTTTATTCACCTATCTGAACAAGAGGTCACAGTGTCACTTTATGCTTAGCAACTTCAGGAAAAGAAATCTTATTCTTTTTTTCTTTCCCCACAATGATCCTTTGTATTTAAGAGAGCTCAGACTGTTATAAATTTAGGCAGCATATCTCTGGAGATCTGGATCCAGACTATTGTGCTTAAATCTTCACTGGTTTAACTTTGGGCAAACTATGTAACTTCTATATGTCTCAGGTTCCTCAGCTTTAAATAGGAGATAATATTAGTGTCTTCTCCTGGCATCACTGTTAGGATTAAATGACTTATTATATAGCACTTTTGACATTGTCTGGCACACAACAGGCCTCTTATAAGCATTTACTGCTATTATTATTATTACCATCATTAAGATGATTATTACTATGTTGACCTGAAATCTGACCAGCGAGTACTCTTAACTATTGATTTCCACTCTATTCCTAAAGCCTCCCAAAATCTCTCCCACATGACAGTCATTCAACTACATAACGTTGGCTAATTCTTCTCTTCTTTAGGCTGAATATTCGCTTTGCTTCAGGATTCTTCATAACGTTAGTCTTTTTCCCTCTTCTTGTTACTTTGATCACCTGAGTCTGACTTCTTGATCATAATTTTCCTGGCTTCTTCTGAAAATCCAACATCTAACATTGAAGTCAGTACCCCAGGGATGGTTTAACCATTCTAGGATAGGGTATTGCTTCATTTGACCTGTATGGTTTTTGTCCATCACCAAAGCTTGGGATTCTATTATCAGTTATAGCAGACTCATTCCATTGTTGAGTTTTACTAGAGTTATAGTTATATAAAATCCTTGCATTTTTCCATCATGTATGTCTTATAAGATATATATTCTACATTCTAAGGTCTTATATTTTTATTTTAAGCAGATTATTTTATAGCTAATAATAAAAAATTATGTATGTTAGTGTGCTTAACATTTTGTTTTCTCACATAGATCATCTATTTAGATATCAAACAAACTTGTGTGGTAGAAGTTATCCTAATTAATATTTTATAGATGAAGGAACTGGGATAAAGAAAGGTCAGCAAATTATCCAGGATAACATAACCAAGCAGTGGCAGAATGGATACTATTAACTGAATAATCTTATTTCTTTAATCTATGACCCATTCTCTTTCAATAAACAGTTATTATAATAATTATTATAATTCATGTTTATAGAATTATATACTAAATACTACACCACCATGTACAATACATATTAGAATCATATACTAGATTTACTATCCTTTTCAGCTTTATCCAAATATTTGATCAACTTGCCACTAATCTCCTCATCTTATATATTATCAAAATGTTGAACTAGTTAGTACAGGGTTAATGAGAACTGTTGAACTGACATCCTTTAAAATATCTCCTTCCAAAGGGGCATGTGCCCATTAACTTTTGGCCTTTGTAATAACCACCAAAGAAGTTCGCTTCTTCAATGTCCTATTCTCTAGTTCCATGTCTCCATTTTGCCTACAGGAATATTTTGTGAAACTTTGTTAAATATCTATTGAAATCCAGATGCACTATGTTATAAGAATTTTTCTGACCTTTGAGAATGGCAAGCTAACAAATAAGATAAAATAAAATAAATCAAACACGTCTGTTCTTACTGAGCCTAAGCTAACCACCTTCTTATAATTAAATGTTACATTTTTAGCCTTCAAATTTTTTTGTTTGTTGTTGTTGTTGTGTTTTTGAGACACAGTCTTGCTCTGTCAGCCAGGCTTGGAGTACAGTGGCGTGATCTCAGCTCAATGCAATCTCCACCTCCTGGATTCAAGTGATTCTCCTGCCTCGGCCTCCCAAATAGCTGGGACTATAGGTGTGCGCCACCACAGCCAGCTAATTTTTGTATTTTTAGTAAAGACGAGGTTTCACCGTGTTGGCCAGGATGGTCTCGATCTCCTGACCTCGTGATCCACCCGCCTTGGCCTCCCAAAGTGCTGGGATTACAGGTCTGAGCCACCACACCCAGCCCAAAAATATTTTTAATGGCCATATCTAGAATAATTCCTGGTATTAACTTAAACTTCATCAGTTTATAATGTGCAAATCCACCTTCTTTTTTCTGAACAATCTAAATCTAATTTGTCTCTAGTAAGCCAGTTCCTCTCTTGTTCTCTGACTATTCAAATCTTAAAGGGTTTTATGTGAATAATCCTAAATAACCCCCAGATATAAAAAATCAGCCAGGCCAGAAGCTATAGACACATTTAGACCTGTGACTTAAAGTCCTTTCGAAAAGCATTGGCATTTTGAAAATGGTTTTCACCCTAAGATTATTCCATCTGCTAGAGGAATCAGGAGGATAATATAAACTGAACATTTCTATAACAAAAAAAATGAGTGTCTAATTTTTGTTAGAGATTGTCTTATTTAGACAAATAAGACTTGGTTCCTGATCTCTAGAAGTTCCCAACCTATGGAAGTACATCCTAATATTTGGTTAGTATTTTGCATTGTATTACACATCTTAGCATGTACTTTCTCAATTAATTGTGCTTCCTTTTGTCACTATTTTGTCATTTCCTTTTTTGGGCATTACTTCTTCCTTATATTTTTTTCATACTCAGAACATAGCTTCAATTATCCTTTTTATTGTCTTTAGAGTTTTCCTTATTTAAGGAAAGCTTCTTTCTTTCTTTCTTTCTTTCTTTCTTTCTTTCTTTCTTTCTTTCTTTCTTTCTTTCTTTCTTTCTTCCTTCCTTCCTTTCTTCCTTTCTTTCTTCCTTTCTTTCTCTCTCTCTCTCTCTCTCTCTCTTTCTTTCTTTCTTTTTCTTTCTTTCTTTCTTTTTTGAGACGGAGTCTCATTCTGTTGCCCAGGCTGGAGTGCAGTGATGCCATCTCAGCTCACTGCAACCTCTGCATCTCGTGTTTAGGTGATTCTCCTGCCTCAGCCTCCCTAGTAGCTGGGACTACAGGCATGTGCCACCACACCCGGCTAATTTTTATTTTTGTATTTTTAGTAGAGATGGGGTTTCACCATATTAGCCAGGATGGTCTCAACCTCCTGACCTCGTGATCTTCCCGCCTCAGCCTCCCAAAGTGCTGGGATTACAGGTGTAAGCCACCGCACCTGGCCTACGGAAAGCTTATTTCTAACAGTCTGTGTTAGTTTTTTATTCTTGCTGTAATGAATTACTACAAACATCATGGCTTAAAGGAACACAGTTTATCACCTCATATTCTGCAGTTTAGAAGTCCCACATGGGTTCTCACTGGGCTTATATCAGGGTATAAGCAGGCCTACTTTCTTTTCCTTGTTTTTTGTTTTCTTCCTTTTTTGTAGAGATAGGGGCTCACCATGTTGCCCAGGCTGCTCTCGAACTCCTGGCCTCAAGTGATCTTCCTGCCTTGGCCTCCCAAAGTGCTGGGATTACAGGCGTGATCCACCAAGCCTGGCCCCTACTTCCTTTCTGAGGTACTAGGAGAGAATCCTTCTTTTGTCTAGCTTCTTGAGGCTGTCCACATTCCTTGGATCCCTTATTCCATCTTCAAAGCCAACAAGGCGAGTTGACTACTATTCACATCACATCTTTTTGATCTTTATTCTTTGGTCACATATCACTGTGATCACAGCTGGGATATTCTCAGCTTGTAAGGATTCATGTGATTGGATTGGGTCCACCTTCATAGTACAGGTAATATCCTTATCTCACCTTAATCACACCTGCAATGTTCCTCTTGCCATGTAAGGTTAACATTATCACAGCTTCTAGGATTAGGGAATGGACATATTTAGAAGCCATTATTCTGACTAGCAAATAATTTAACTGGCACATCTGCATTTCTGTTTTAGTTATGTCTTATTTCATTTTGTATATCATTTAAATATCTAATTGTAGTGAAGAGCAACTTGTGAAGATTTAGTGGTTTATTAAGGCACCTTCAGCTCTTCTTCATAAATGAGTTAATATACTCTTACTTAATTGAAATCTTGTTTTTGAGATCCTCTCAACTTTTTTTTGAAATACCTTTTACATTTAGAATCTCAAGCCATAGTCTTAATATTTTTTGAGCTATCTGTAGTCCTACTTACACAATTCTCAAAAATTTATTGTGATAATATTTCCCCCTCTTTCTTATACCTAAACACAGTCAGCCTTGAGAAACTATTTCTCATAGGTGTGCCCGGATTACATTTAAATTAATTTGGAATGTAAAATTACATGCATACACACTTCTTTGAACAGACATGCGGAGTGGTAGTATACGTGGTGTTAAGAAAGGTGTGTAGTAGAGCTATTGCTTGGAGTATTCTCTTTGCTTGTTGTGAAAGCTTGTGAGGAGACATTGGGCCATGTGGTCAGGTTTCTAACAGTTCTCGTATTGGCCTCAATTAGTTGTCTGCTTATTAATAGAAGTTATGCTACAGACTTCTCTGTCTCTGTAGACCCAAACTGTTATATTCACCCTTTTTCTGCATATACCATTAAATTTAATGTCCCCAAATATTATGTGTATGTTATGTTATATACACATACATCATTAAGTCCCACATCTCAAAGAAATTTTTCTCTGGAGTCCATTTCTGTTTTGCCTATCCCTCTATTGCCATTTTCTATACTACCTCTTCATATACCTTAAATTAGCTAGTATCTGTTTATATATTCACATCACATTTTTGCAAGGTAGATAAAGGAAATTGCTCTCAAATGATGGGATTTTTACTTGCTGTGTTTCAGTTTAAAACATCCTTTTCCCCCACAAAAACTAGTTTTATAAACATTTGTGAAGCAGACTGCGTAAAGGAAATTGCTGACACAACTTAACTGCATCTATAATCGTGCAAGTGATATGACTGCATGGGGAGAGCAAAGAAGATAGAAGCAAAAATTGGCTATATTTTCAACTTAAGTCTCAATATGAAAAAAGAGACTAATGCCATTTAGTTATAATTTGAAGTGTTTGGAATATTTTTACTTTGTAGACACTTGGCTAGAGTGCTCCAAATAGAGATATGTGTCTTACAGTCTAAACGGAGCTTTTTTTTTTTTTTTTTGAGACGGAGTCTCACTCTGTTGCCCAGGCTGGAGTGCAGTGGTGCTATCTCGGCTCGCTGCAACCTCCACCTCCTGGGTTCAAGTGATTCTCCTGCCTCAGTCTCCCGAGTAGCTAGGACTACAGGTGCGTGCCACCATGCCTGGCTAATTTTTTGTATTTTTAGTAGAGCCAGGGTTTTACCGTGTTAGCCAGTATGGTCTTGATCTCCTGACCTCATGATCTGCCCACCTCGGCCTCCCAAAGTGCCGGGATTACAGGCGTGAGCCACTGCACCTGGGCGGAGCTGTGTGTTGTATGCCTCTAGACTGCCTGTAATCCCAGAACTTTGGGAGGCCGAGGTGGGCAGATCATGAGGTCAGGAGACTAAGACCATCCTGGCTTAATCTCCTGTAGAGATTAATCTACTACAGATTAAGCTGTAGTAGAGACGGTGAAACCCCATCTCTACTAAAAATACAAAAAATTAGCTGGGCGTGTTGGCAGGCGCCTGTAGTCCCAGCTACTTGGGGGGCTGAAGCAGGAGAATGGTGTGAACTTGGGAGGTGGAGCTTGCAGTGAGCCGAGATCGCGCCACTGCACCCCAGCCTGGGCGACAGAGCCAGACTCCGTCTCAAAAAAAAAAAAAAAATACTCTCTAATGATTTTGAAAGAGACACAGCATGCTGTGTCCTGGGAAAAATCACCTAACCTCCAGGGTTTTTATTATTTTTACTAATTTATTGATTTGAGACAAGGTCTTGCTCTGTCGCCCAGGCTGGAGTGCCATGGCATGATTACGATTCACTCCAGTCTTGAATTTCTAGGCTCAAGCAATCCTCCCACCTCAGCCTCCTGAGTAGCTGGGATTACAGGTGTGTGCATCCAAGTACAGCTACTTTTGTAATTTTTTTTGTAGCGATGAGGGTCCAGCTATGTTGCCCAGGCTAGTCTCAAATTCCTGGGTTCAAGCAATCCTCCCACCTTGGCCCCCCAGAGTGCTGGGATTATATGAGTGAGTTACTGTGGCTTGCCTTTTTTTTTTAAAATATATATAAGGAATATTATAGTGCCAGTGCCTTTCTGTCTGGTGTTGGAGGTCCCATTATAACATCTGTAAATTATATATATTTTTAAAATGATTACATTAGATTATTATATTTGCTCTTGGCTGCTTCTGTCTTTCGCACGACATCTATGGGCATGAACAATATCTCCAACTCCAGATATGTATCTCTGTGTTAGCAATATCCTTAAGTTAAGATCATAGTTCCTCTGAATAACTTTTAAAAATCAGATATGTTTTAGGAAATTACTGCTCTAGTGTACAACATTCATTTCTTTTCCACTGGTAAAATCTGGATTATATGTACAGGCATACCTTATGACAGGTTTAGTTCCAGATCACCACAATAAAGCAAATATCACATTAAAGTGAGTCATATGAATTTTTTGGTTTCCCAATGCACATAAAAGTTACATTAACATTATACCATATCTATTTAGTGTGAAATAGTATTATATCTAAAAAACAATGTATATATCTTAATTTTAAAATTTTTTTACTAAAAAAATGCTAACGATTATCTGAGCCTTTAGCTAGACATAATCTTTTTGTTGGTGGAGGGTCTTGCCTTTATGTGGATGGCTGCTGACTGACCAGCGTGGTGGTTGCTGCAGGCTGGGGTGGCTGTGGCAATTTCTTAAAATGAGACAACAATAAAGTGTGTTGCATTGATTGAGTGTTCTTTTCACAAAAGAATTCTCTGTAGCGTGAAATGCTGTTTGATAGCATTTTACCCACAGTAGAACTTCTTTCAAAATTGGAGACAATCCTTTCAAACCTTGCTGCTGCTTTATCAACTAAGTTACTGTAATATTCTAAATCTTTTGTGGCCATTTCATTAGTGTTCACAGCATCTCTACCAGTAGTAGATTCTGTCTCAAGAGGCCACTTTTTTTTTCTCATCCATAAAAGGGAACTGTTCATATGTTAAAGTTTTACAATGAGATTTCAGCTATTCAGTCACATCTTCAGCCTTCACTTCTCATTCTTATTCTCTTGCCTTTTCCACCACATCTGCAGTTACTTCCTCCACTGAAGTCTTTCTTGAACCCCTTGAAGTCATCCTTGAGGGGTGGAATCAACTTCTTCTAAATTCCTCTTAATCTTGATATTTTGACCTCCTCCCACAAATCATGAATGTTCTTAATGGCATCTAGAAGGGTGAGTCCTTTCCAGAAGGTTTTCAATTTACTTTGGTCAGACTCATCAGAGGAATCACCATCTATGGCAGCTATTGCTTTACAAAATGTATTTCTTGAGTAATAAGACTTGAAAATTGAAATTACCCCTTGACCCATGGGCTGCAGAATGAATATTGTGTTAGCAGGAATGAAAGACAACATTTATTTTGTTGTGCAACTGCATCAGAGCTCTTGGATGACCAGGTGAATTGCAGATGTGCTGTCACACAGGCTTAGTTTTCCTACGTATAGAGCATAGTCAGAGTAGATTTAACATAATTCTTAAGGGATCTAGAATTTTTTGAATGGTAAATGAGCATTGGCTTCAACTTAAAGTCACCAGCTTCACTAGCCCATAATAAGAGAATCAGCCTGTTCTTTGAAGCTTTGAAGCAAGGCATTGACTTCTCTTCTCTAGCTATGAAAGTCGTAGATGGCATCTTCTCATATAAGACTGTTTTGTTTACATAGAAAATCTGTTGTTTAGTATAGCCAGCTTCCTCAATGATCTTAGCTAGATCTTTTGGATAACTTGCTACAGCTTCTACATCAGCACTTGCTGCTTCACCTTGCACTTTAATGTTATGAAGATGCCTTCTTTCCTTCAACTTTAGGAACCAACCTCTGCTAGCTTCCAACTATTCTTCTGCAGCTTCCTCACTTCTCTCTGCCTTCATAGAATCGAGATGAGTTGAGGTCTTGCTCTGGATGAGGCTTTGGTTTAAGGAAATGTAGCTGGCTTGATCTACCCAGACCACTAACATTTTTTCCATATCAGCAAGAAGACTAATTCACTTTTTCATCATTTTTGTCTTCACTGGAGTCGTATCTTAATTTCCTTTAAGAATTTTCCTTTTCATTCATAACTTGGCTAAGCGGTGCAAGAGGCCTAGTTTTGGGGACATATCAGCTTTTGACATGCCTTCCTCACCAAGGTTAATCATTTCTAGTTTTTGATTTAAACTGAAAGACATGTGACTCTTCCTTTCACTTGAGCACTTAGATGCCATTGTAGGGTTATTCATTGGCCTAATTCCAATATTGTTGTGTCTTAGGGAAAAGCAAAGCCTGAAATGAGAGAAAGAAATAGGGAAACAGCTAGTCAGTGGAGCAGCCAGAACACACCCTGGGCATGGTTTCTGGCACCCCAAACAATTACAATAGTAACATCAAAGATCATTGATCCCAGATCACAGCCACAGAAGTAATAAAAAATAAAAAAGTTTAAAAGTTTTGAAAATTTTAGTAATTTTGGAATTACTATTATTTTATTAATAAAATATGACACAGAGACACAAAATGAATACATGTTGAAGAGATAGTGCCAATAGACTTGCTTGACACAGGGTTGTCACAAACCTCCAATGTGTAAAAAGCAAAATATCTGCAGAGCACAACAAAATGAGGTCTGCATACATATATATGCATAAGTATAGTGATATATATATACATATGTGCATATGTATAGTATATGTATATGTTATATATAGTGTATGTTACATATATATACAGTGTGCATATATATATTTTTTTTGTTTGATAAGTATTCCTGATTAGACAGAACACCAATCTTGTCTGTTTTTACCTTTGTGACTTTGAGCTAGTCATTTTCCATTTTGAAGCCTCAGTTTTTTAGATCCCCAAAGTAATGAAGTGAAACCAAGTTATGTCTAACCTAACTGCCAACATCAATATGCTGGGTTCCTAAGCTTAAGATTCTGATCATCCTAGCATAACTAATACTTATTGAGTACTAATACTTAATGTGTGCCAGACACTCGTCTATGTATTTTACATATATGAAAACTTTTAGTCCTCATAAAAACTGTGAGAAGTGTAGTAAAATTTTCCACTTCATAGGTGAGGAAATGAGGCAGGGAAAGTTTCAGGAACTTGCCTTAGGTTATACAGCTTAGAAGTGGCAGAGCTGGTGTTTGAACTCAGGAATCTGTTTCCAGAGATCCTTTTTTCGGTAGATAGGTGCTCTCCCTGTTGGAGCCAGCCTTAGACAAATCTCGACATAGACCATGTTACTTCTACTCCAAAGAGCATTTCCCTTCTTATCTCAAGTTTCTGAAGTGTCTCAGGCCTGCCTCCTGTCTAGAGCTCGCCACTCTAAATGGTTTTTATATATGGCTGATATTTCCCCATCCTACATTCCTAGCTTTGGGTGTCCTGTTCTATTGGGATTTTGCACTATGGTAAAAAACTGATAAGCAGATTCAAAGTAAGGGCAAAACAACATGTTTAATAGCATGTTTAATGGGGAAAGATATTTGGGAAAGAAAAAGAGTTTTCCTTGATTCTAAACTTTGAATATGTGATTATTTGAATACCATATATGATATTTGAATATATTACATAGTGGCTACCTATGTGATTAAGCATATGACTAACACAGTTCTGTGAACTCTTGACACACACAAGTAAATTAAACTTCTTTTCATGTACCATTCTGCCACCAGTAGCATGAGAAATGGATGCCAAATGTCTGCCTCTTTCAAATCAGTCTGAGTTTTCCGTAGATGTTTTCAATTTCATCTGGTTTTTTGGTGCTATGTTATTTACATGTCCCTTGAAAAACAGAAGATTCTGGTTTTACAAAATGTATTTCTTAGAGTAATTTCACCTATGAAGTGGAAAATTTTACTACACTTCTCACAGTTTTTATGAGGACTAAAAGTTTTCATATATGTAAAATACATAGACGAGTGTCTGGCACACATTAAGTATTAGTACTCAATAAATAAAGCTAAAAATTTAAAAATCTCCATTTGAAATGATAATATATTTGAAAAATCCAAGGACACTTTTATTAAAGTTATTGGACTGAGCTCTAAGAGGGGTTACGATTTAAACAATTTTTTGATATGGTTTAAGTCCTTAAGCTTTGCTAATTGCAAGCTCACTGAAACACAGTATTAATTTTAAAAATCTTGCAAAAGTGTTTGATTCACATCATTGCTGGCTTGCCAAGTCTGTGGCTAGGTAATCCTTTAGAGGCAATTTTGAACTATTTGAACAAGCCTACTTTGAGATTATGTACAAACAATTTATTTATGTGTGATAATATTGTCTGCACTATTTTCTGCTTCTGTGTTCTTTATTTTTCCAGAGGACTATAGCAGATGTTTTAGACTTTGTGAGAAAAGTCAAGTTGTTCTCTCTATTGCCATTAGTAAAAATACTTGTGAAAAGCTATTTGTTATACTATATTTAGATAGTTGCATTTATATACTCAAAAATCAAGTTTACTTTGGGATAGTTATAGATGAAGTAATAAAGGCATTACTTAAACTATGAAAAGTAAAAGCTCTCGACACACAGTGGGTATAAAAGTTGAGGTACCCCTTTAATACCATTCGCTCAGCTTCCATCTTAGCATTGTTCATAGCCCTCACATTGCCGCCTCCTTGTCTAACTCTCAGCTATACAGGGAGGTCCTAGAGGCAGGCATTGTAAGTGCACATGACAGTATCCAGCATGATAAATGCAGGACCTAGAACACTTATCTAGTCCTTGCTAGTATTAAAAATTCAACAGGTCTTACAACTTGGTGCAACAAGCAACTGCATGTTGATTAATGAGAAACCTATTAATTATCCAATAACTTGATGGTGTCCTCAATACTATACATCATCCTTAAAACATAGCTTGTTAGTGTTGATCCTTGTCTGTCTCCACTACTAAATAATAAATTTTATCTTAATTTATTAACTCTTTTAAGGCAGGGTTCTCTTTATCTCTGCATCACTAGTTCTTAGCACAGTGCCTACCACACTGCCTGATTAATTGAAATAATTCGTGAGGTAAAATAGAACAAGGATATATACTTCCTATCAACAAATTGCTAAAATCAAGCTTAACTTTTGCCTAATAGAGTTATCTCTGATCATCTGATTATGGATGGTAATTAGTGTGCAGAACTGTAATGATCAATGCTGAAACTTGTGATGTAGTTCAGGTCATTTTAAGGTAAGGAAGGTGCACCCAAATTAAGGATTTCTTTAGCCTGAAATAGCTAAGACAAACCATTGATCATCGGCCAATGATTGTTGGTTATGTCCATGGAAATTTAATTAAATTTGAGGGGTTTTGTGAAATAACCTGGCATTTGTTACTGTTCTTTCATCTTAGTCAGCATCATTGTAAATTCTAGTCCATAGATCATAGCTTAAAGTCGACTTGCTTTTAAGCAGGTAAATTCTCTAAGTTCTGTGGTTAGCCCAATGTTTATAATATAGTCACTGACAACCAGTGAAATAGCATAGATATCTTAGCATCTGTTACTTGAATTTTTAGCAGATGTCCTAATCTTATTTAGTTTCTAGTAAAGGACAACCTGGATTCCAAGCATTTCTTTCTGAGGTCAATTATTCTTGATAAATACTTCCAGAAGGACTTATCATTAAAGATTTTAAGAGAAATAACCCAAAATGAGGGCATTGGAATGTAATACGGGATGAGATAGCTATTTATTTGTGGTATCTCAGTATCATCCTGTTAACGCTCTTTTCTGTTCTTACTAGCATGGCTCAGATTTTGAGTCTACATTTTCTAGGCTCCTTTGCCAGCTGGCTATGTTCTACTAATGGGGAATATTGTGAGGAAATCAGAAGGGTACAAATTGAGAAAACTTCCTACTTTGGTCTTCAGTGTTGTGGCAGTTGTTGGCAGGTTGTGGAATTATATAGGAGTTTCTGTAGCAGCAGAGGAGGTGAAATGATTCTGGACTCCAGTAGCCAAGACAGAAAAGCACCTTTTCAGCAGTTCCTAGCTGGGTCCAGGTGGCCCATATTTGACGGATCTGGAATAAGCTGCAATAGCATCTCCAAAGTGGGGTAACAGGTGCAGGCTAGTGGGTTCCAGCCTAGAAGTTTTGGTAGGCTCTATTTCACTTCTCCTTTTCTGTTTTTTTTTTCTTTTTAACTTTTCTAAAAGGCAACAGTTTTCCTATAATGTTTTCCCTCTGTTTGATATACCTAGAGTAAATTATGTTTTCTTGAGCAGACATTGTCCTTTTAGTTTTCTATTCATTAGACAAACCAAATACCAATGTGTACAAATATGTACAAAGACATGAGTATACCATGGCAAAATTTTTATGTTTGTTTCTGAGAATCAATTGCCTAACATGCTGTTGAGTCATACATCTTGTAAAAGTAAAAAACAGATACACCTATAGTATTTTTTTGTTCTCTCAATGACAAAATTTAACATTTGTCACTGAATTGTAACCTCTTGGAGAAATGGAACTATAAGTCATTTATTTGTGTATTCCCAGATGTTGACTTAGTGGCACAGTCATATTCTATCCTCTTTTCTAATCCATTCTCTGATTGTAACTGGTGCTGAACTTAAAGAGTAAATCTGCCCATATCACTTTCCTACTTGAAATCATTCAAATTCTCCTTACTGCTGTTAGGATAAAATCCAAGTTCTCTAGTGTAGCCTACTGAGAGCTTTAAAATTTGGTCATTATTTACCTTTCCAACGTTATCTCTTGCCTCTTGATTTGACTCTACAAGTTTTTGTCCCACTGGGACTCAATAACTTGCAGTTCTTCCAAAATCTCACACTATGTCTTACTTTTGGTTGTTGTCACATATGTGACTCCTTAAATCGGAATGAACTCTTCTCTTCTTATTTCAACCTTGTTTTCCAAGACAGCTCCTATTTGTGCTTCAGTCTCCAGCTTTTATACTTTTTTTCTTTTTACTTTCCCATGTCCTCCAGCTTGACTTAGAAATCTTTCTGTATATATTTCCAATGCAGTCTTCACTGCCCTTTTTATAGCACTTAACACACTGGGTTGCGATTGCCTGTTTAATTGCATCAAAGCATGCTCATAGGACTTCTTTTATGCAGGGACAACAGGTAAATTCCTAAAGCTAAAGAAACTAGGTACCTCTGCATTCTAAAGAAGCTAGAAATCTGTTTCCAAGCTTATCACACTCTCCAAACTCTCCTGTAATCCTCGACACCATTCCCACCAAACACTCACTAACCTATAGAAAGGGGGTGTCTAGACATTCCAGAGGAATTGTTTGAAACAGGAAAGTCAATGCGGGATAGTGTGACATGGACCAGGAGAAAGTGTTTTGGAGTTTTATCTCATATTTGGGAGAGAGAACAAAAGGGCAATATTTCCTTTTTAAAGTTAATCTTATGTGTTAATTTGGCTGGGCCGCAGTGCTCAGATATGTGGTCGAATATTCTAGACGTTTCTGTGAGAGTATTTTCAAATGACATTAAAATTAAGTCAGTGAACTATGAGTAAGCAGAATGCCCTCTATAACATGGGTAGGTCTCATCCAATCAGTTGAAGGCCTGAATAAAACAAAAGAGTGACCTGCCACAAGAAAAGGGAATTCTGCCAGCAGACGGCCTTTAGACAGAACCTTCATCCTCAGCTCTCCTACATCTCAGCCTGCTGACCCACCCTGCAGATTCTGGAATTGGCAAACTCTATCACTGGCTCTGTTTTTCTGGAGAACCCTGAATAACACAGAGGGGAAGCAAGAGATTGAATGTATCTGCAGGCATAGGAGGTGGACACTTTCATTGTCTAAATACCTGCTGAGCTTCACTTGTAAGCTTACCTCAAAAGCAACAGAGTAGAGCACAGTGAGGGAGTTCTTGGAAAAGGATGTCATGTGGTCCCTGGAAATTTGGGCTATTGGGGAATAAAAGACCAATGCCTACTACTTCCCTGGAGGATTTTCAAGACAGACTGTTGACTAGAACAGCCTGCTATTGTAAGAGGAGAAAACAGGGCAGCAGTGTTGTGGTGTAAAGTCTTTCCATTTGGTTAACAAGGATGCCATTATTGATAGATGACAATATACACTTCCTGTATTGCCAACTAGATAATCTTACTCAAGCTTTGTTGTTTGGAGTTTTAATTGGGGGCTCCATGGTTGATTGCCCATAGTCTCCAGTCTCTCTGGAGGTAAACACTGCATGACCCAAAGTCCTTGTCATAAATCACACTGTTAAGCTGTGTGATAGTCGAGGCTCCCATGTAACAAAGATACTCTTCCCTGAGATCATTACCTGCATGAAACAAAGGCCAGGGCTCTCTTCAAGTAAGGTTAAATTATTTGTTACCTGCATGGGAATTTTGATTTAAAACTTTTTGGTCACTTAGAGATATTAGGAAATGACGTTATCTATTTGAGAATTCTTGGGAGTGTTAAGGGAAGCGTGTAGATAGACTGTGTTTGAATGAAGCCTTTCCTTGAAAGCAGTTTTTCTATCTATCTAATTCAGACTTAACAAACCAGTTATTCATATATGTCTTCCCAACTAGATGTGAGTTCTGTGAAAATGGGAATGATATCTTTCTTGTTTCCACGACCCAGCACAGAGACTAGCACTAACAGAGCCTAAAGAAATATTTGTCTACTGAATGGAGAAAGATTTATCACAAAACACTGAGCAGATTGCCACTTCAGAGCTGTACTGTTATATATGTGTTCCTGATGTTCATGATATACTCATAAAAGATCAGAGCCTCAATCATAAGTCATCAGCATTAGCCTAAATAGAATGAAGGGCCTTGATGTGAAGTGGTCCATTGGCCTTCTGGAAGTAGCTGAAATATTTAGGAATTACTGTTAAGAGACAACAACTACTTTTAAGACTCAAGTGTAGCCTTTGTATCTTCCTTTCTTAAGAATGATTTATGACCAGAGCCAAGTAGTTAACAACATGAAATTCAAGTCCTAAATGCTTCACCACATGGTTATAATCTGGAAGGATTCTTTCATGATAGTTATAACCTGGTATATGTGTTAGGTGTGTCATGACAAAAACATTTCAAATGTATATAAAGAGTTCATCATTTGGTTTAATAGTGACATATTATGACAGATTGTGAAGTTTGAACAAAGAAGATATTTTATGTGTAAGATTCATGAATAATGCCTTTTCTTTTAAATAAACTTTTGATTTTAGAATAATTTTAGGTGTATAGAAATGTTGTGAAGATTGCACAGATTTCCTATATACCCCACACTTAATTTTCCTTATTCTTAACATCTTAGATTAGTATGGTACATTTGCCAAAATTAATGAACCAATATTAATACATTAGTATTACTTAAAGCCCATATTTTATTCAGATTTCTTAGTGTTTAACTAATGTTCTTTTTCACTTCCAGGATCCCATCCAAGATACCACATTGTGACATTATGTCTCTTTAGGCTCCTCTTGGCTGTGACAGTTTTTTTCAGATTTTCTTTTTTGTTTATGGCCTTGACAGTTCTAAAGAGTATCATTCAGTTATTTTGCAGAATATACCTCAGTTGGGATTTGTCTTATGTGTTCTCATTATCAAATGAGAATGTGCATTTTTGGAAAAAAGACTACAAAGGTAAAGTGCTATTCTTATCACATCATACTAAGGGTACATGCTATCAGCATCACTTATTATCGTGGATGTTGACCTTGAAAATCTGGCTGAGGCAGTGCTTGCTAGGTTTCTCCAAGGTAAAGTTATCCCCATTTCTTTGACGTACTGTACCTTTTGGAAGAAAATTACTATGAAGAATTATGCTAACCTCTTTGAGGGTACAGTATCTACATAAATCATTTTTTATTCTTCTGAATGGGAGATTTATATTTTGTGCTCCATTTTTTAATTCAATCATTTGTGAATATCACTATAAACTCATGAATATTTATAATATAGTCTAAATCATTTTCCAATACAATTTTATTACATTGCTCAAATTTTTCCAGCTTTAGCCATTGGGAGTTAGTTCAGTTGGCTTTTACGTCCCTTTGACATAACACTATCATGGTTTTTTTTGTTGTTGTTGAACACTTCCTTAATTCCTGTCATTATAAGAAGTTTCGGGCTCATCTTATATATTTCCTGCCCCAGCTCTGGAATTAGCTATTTCCTCAAGAAGCTCTGGTTCCTTTTATTGGAGAATGGTGTTAGAAATCAAGATCTTTCTGCTAGATATGCTCATTGCTACTGCAGCGTCATTGCTCCTAGGCCCTCTCATCTGACAGAGCAAGGAAATATATGTGTGCACACTAACTTCTGAACATACAAATATATGTAAATATTTATATATCCATCTGTATCTATATCAAGCTAAACATGAGTATATAATATCTTCAACTCTAATCCATTACATGCATCATTCCAGCCTTCTCCCCTTGTTTGCTGTAATATACAACAACATGTAAAAACATAACTTCCACATTCCACATATTCACTTAATTGTCTAATTCTAGTATAGTGGTTTCAGAATTGTTAACCTGAACTCCCATGGAAGACAACTATATCAATGAGATCACAGGCTTATGTACAATTCCTTTTGCCTTTAGTCTTACAGTCTCCATGCTTTTCTAAAGTTAAATGGATCAGCACCTCCTTTCCCCACGCCCTTCAATGATGTTATTTTATACAACTGTAATAATAGTATTAGATCCTTTTGTTACAGTCCATCCTGGAATTCCGCAAACTTCTAAATGATCATTGCTTAAGTTCTATATATTAGGGTTCATGCTTTGTGCCATAAATTGCTATGTTTGACAAATGCATATTGTCATGTATCCACCATTACAGTAGCACACAGAATAGTTTTACTGCCCCCAGACATTTCATGTGCTTCACCTATTCAACCCTCCTCCACCTTAGTCCATTTCTATTTACCATTTCTATAGTTTTGCCTTTTCAAGATTGTCATATAAATGGAATCATACAACATGCTGCCTTTTCAGATTGGCTTCATTTGCCCAGTAATTCTTTGTACTGAACATGTACAAACTTTTTTTTTCCGGTCATTATTCCTTAAACAATATAGTATATCACCTATTTACATAGAAGTTATGTTGCATTTTATTGATATTATATTAGTATTATAAATAATCTAGAGATGATTTAAAATATACAGGAGAATGATCATAGGTTGTATCCAAATACTATGCCATTTTATATAAGATACTTGAGCATCTGTGGATTTTGGTATCTACAAGAAGTCCTGGAACAAATCCCCTATGGATAAAGAGGGACAACTGTAGTCCCTTTTTATATATTTTATTCCACAAAATGGATGTCTCTGGATTTTTCTCCATCTTTATTTAGGAAGAAATTCTATGTTGGGAGAAGTAAAGAAGCTCAAAGAAATGTAAAGCACTGAGAAATGCAGCCTTTGCTGGATATCTTGTTTGTCATTTCAAATCTACTTTCTGTCTTTTTAAACTGGATTTCAATTCTGGAAGGCTAATTTATATAGAGTTCATGATGAATACCTTTGCCCTTTGATCTTGGGTAGATTAGGCCAATGATCAGTCCTGCAGAAAACAGGAGGGAAGGTGGAGAGTGAGGCCATGCTTTTACTATCTTTGCTCTCTTCCTGGATGGTGTCCTGGTTACTGACTTAAGGGAGACAGTTCTTCTCATGTGGGCCTCTCCACATAATTTCTCATTTTGGTTCTGGTAAGCATTCCATCTCCTTTTCTTTTGGGGCCTAATGGTGGTTACAGGGTAGTGCATGCTCCTTTCTGGTTTCCCTAAATCATGTGCACCATTTTGTAAACAAATCCTTTATTAAACCTTCTTTGAATTATCCTACTGTGAGTGTACTTATGTTTCCCGTTGTGGTTCTGATACATAACCCAATGCAGACTTTGTTTCTTGAACATTCAGACTTCACGTTATAAAACAGATACCTCTTGAAAAAATGTAGGAAGATACCCTGTGTGATGGTTAATATCGAGTATCAACTTAATTGTGTTGAAGGAGGTAAAGTATTGTTCCTGGGTGTGTCTCTGAGGGTGTTGCCAAAAAAGATTAACATTTGAGTCAGTGGATTGGTAGAGGCAGACCCACCCTCAATCTGGGTGGGCACCACCTAATCAGCTGCCAGTGGAGCTAGGATAAAAAGCAGGCACAGGAACATGTAAGGACTAGACTGGCTGAGTCTCCCTGTTTTCATCCTTCTCCTGTGCTGGATGCTTTCTGCCCTCCAACATCAGACTCCAAGTTCTTCAACTTTCGGACTCTTGAACTTACACCAGTGGTTTGCCAGGGGCTTTTGGACCTTTGGCCACAGACTGAAGGTTGCAATGTTGGCTCCCCTGATTTTGAGGTTTTGGGACTCGATCTGGCTTCCTTTGCTCCTCAGCTTGCAGATGGCCTGCTGTGGGACTTTTCCTTGTGATCATGTAAGTTAATATCCCCTAATAAACTTCCTTTCATATATACATCTATTCTATTAGTCCTGTCCCTCTGGAGAACCCTAATACACCTAGTTTCACCCCCAGCATCTATTCATGTACCAAACTCCCTATTCTTTATACTTAGAGATCCAGGATCAGGATTCTGTCCTCTGAAGGGTATTAATTTAATAGAGAGGCTAGAATATTAGTTCCAATCTTAGGCTTTGTCCTTTGTAGCACCTTAGTAAGGTTAGTTACTGGTTGTTTTCTGTCATTGTCTTGTTTTTGTTTTTTATTAAGAGAAAGTTTCTTTGTGTGTCGGGGATCCTATACCTCCTCAAGTCTGCATATTGTGAATGGCTGAGGTTCTTGTCTAGTTAATAGTTTTGAATTATAAAAGTCTTTTTTAAAGGTCAAAAGTAAAATATCTTGTTTCCTCTGCCTTAAGATTTTGTATGCTGTCTTTCTGGGCAGGGAAGGCAAACCCATATCCAAAGTTTATATTAATTCTAATAAAGTCAACTCACTGTCTGCTCCCAGGTAGGAGAGGCTCAATGAAGTCACCACTGAGAGGTGACTCACTAGTCTCTTCTGAAAATATCAAGGGCTCAGATATACTTCTCCTGTTGGAAAGTTGGTTAGTAGCAATATTTCAGCAAGACTTTGTGGTGAGGAACCAGTGCTGTTGGGCCTATACATAGCTTCAATCTCTTCCACCCTGGTCCCTCTGTTCATTGGTCATAATTTAAACACTAAAGTGGCTGAAAACTGTACCACTGGAGAGGACATCACACTCACTTTGTTGAGGAGAGCTTCCCTTATGATTAATACTTTCTGGATAGAATTACTATGGTGATGGTACTCATCAGAGACACAAAGATCGGCATATATTGTGCTCATTTCCTTTATATGGATCATGCAATCTTTTCCCATGATTTTAGCCTTATTTTTCAATACCTGGTTAAGTGACTAAGCCATTCACCACTGCCCAGGATTCAGTATATAATAATACCTGTGGCCATTTTTCTCTCTCCATTTGAAATGAATGTCTGACTTGCAACTTTGTCCACAGAGAAGATTATTACTTTTTACTCCACAGACTCTCTACATAGATAGCATCCTTGTATTCCAAGAATATCTCTAGTATAATAACATGGGCTTTACTAGGCTGTATGTCCTGAATCATGGCAGTTTGCTCTGGCTGAAGAGCCCTCTATTACTGTGGACCCCACTTGAATTTTTTAGCATTCAATTTTCACTATATAAATGGTTAGAACAATAGTCCCTCCAAAATCCAACGATGCCTACACAGCGTTATGGCTCTTTCCAAGTAATAGGAAGTTTGAAGTATATTAACTTCCTTTTACTTTAGATGTACTGTCCTAATACGGACTTGGAATTCTGAAAATTTAACTAGTTGGTAGACCTCTGCAGGATTCTGGGACCGCTTTTCTACACTTCAGCGTGCATGTGTCTTATTGGGAAAGTTCTATTGGCCTGGTGTCAACATAGCATAGTTTGTGGAATTAGAAGATAATCAAAGGGCTGGGCGCAGTGGGTCATGCCTGTAATCCCAGCACTTTGGGAGGCCAAGGCAGGTGGATCATGAGGTCAGGAGATCGAGATCATCCTGGCTAACATGGTGAAACCCCATCTCTACTAAAAAAAGACAAAAAATTAACCGAGCATGGTGGCACACGCCTTTAGTCCCAGCTACTCAGGAGGCTGAGGCAGGGGAATTGCTTGAACCCGGGAGGCGGAGGTTGCAGTGAGCCAAGATCACGCCACTGCACTCCAGCCTGGTGACAGCAAGACTCCATCTCAAATGAATAAATAAATAAATCAAGACAATCAAAGTTCCTATAGACAATATTATGACAAGGAATAGAAGAGGTAACATAGCCCTGAGACATTTCTGTGACTGTGTACTGCTGTGTTTACCATATAAAGGTATGTTTATTCCAATCCTTCCTGATGCTGTGCTTCAGGAAAACGACATTGACCACATTAACATCACCTTACCAAGTGCCAGATGCCTTACTAATATACTTCATTAAAGACCTGCACCTGGAATGGCAGCTATGGTTGGGGTTGCCAACCAGTTAAATGTATAGTAAATAGTTCTACCATGCTCCATCTTTTCCTTTGCAGGAGCCTCATAGGTTGATTGAACAGTTCTCTGATGAGTACCATCACTCCGTGTCCTCAAAACTTTGCGGATTGCACTAATTTCTGTATGAGGTATTATTTCTAATTTACCATCTTGGTATTGGAGTTGATTTTCAGGAATTTCAACTTGGCTTTTCCTACTATAATGGTAGCTGCTCTACAAATACAAATATAAAAGCCAATGTATGGGTTCTGTCTGCTTCTAAGTACTATGTCTCTCTCAAATATATATCCAGTGACTTGTAAATATCTTCAGGATGTATTTAAGTGTCCATTGTGCTCTTTTTGTATCAGACTTGGACCAAAATCTAATTTCCCCCCTAGTCTCCATAAACTCCCACTCATCCCAAGACAATGTAGGCATTTTGGATCTCCTGGTATTAGTGTCACCTCAGACCTAGAATTTAGCCCTCTTTGTAATATTGGATATTCTTTCTTCTCCAGTGCATTATTATCATGTCAAATGGGAGGATCAAAGGAATAGACTTGTAATTACATTGCAGGGGTCATCCTCAAGGCAACAGGCCTTCTCTTTAACCAACAGATTCTACAAACTTACTGAGATCTTAAACTGGTTGAGGGACTGCCATTGTCAATTTTGGTGGTCGATATGAGTCATATGATCACCAGCTCTTGATATTTATGCTCATATAAATTGAACAATACCAATAAGCTGTCAATCTATGTTTCCTCTGGAGCACCAAGATATATTAGCTGCCACTGCAGATAACTTAGATCAAGATATTCTGATTGTCACTCTAGCCTTATTACAATTTGATAATTATGTTCACATTGCCTCAAATGATTAAGTGTTGCCTCGCTGCTATTTAGGAATCTTACCATTTCCGCTAATTGTAGATGACCTATTTCCATGTCAGCATTTCCTGCTTAACACTAGCCTGCAGGGGACAGCTACCACCAAAGATTCCAGTGCTTCTCTCACCTATGAATTCCTTATTACCTAGTTCAAAAAAAGTGTTCTCTGTGTCATCTTGGAGTATATAGTGCAGTGGTAGATTTTTCAGTTCTTATATAATATGTCCATCCTAACAATTCCCTTTAAAAATATGGGACTCCCAATTAACTTTGCATTTCAGATAAATGAGAATTTTTAAATGGTATAAGCTATGTTTCAAATATTGCTTGAGACACACTTATACTAAGAAATTATTTGTTGTTTGTGCTAAGTTCAAATTTCACTGGAGTCCTGCATTTTAACTGGCAACCTCATCACAGAATGGTACCTCCTGTCACATTTATCACCAGAGACAACCATTTAGATCTCTGTTACCTGATGGCATTTGAGAAATAGCCATTCTTCCTATAACTTATTCTTATCTTCATCTTGCCTTTCTGTCTCCTTGGGGTAAGATTATCCTCAGGTGACATTACATCTTGTTTTGTGTGGGACAGTCTGATTTTATTTCTGTTGTCTTGACATAATTGCTAACAACCGTTTCACTTTCAGAAGTGTCTCAGTTTAGATGATAAATTATATGGTTACTGATGCCTCATTCCATCTTTGATTTTCTCCCAACCCTATTAGTAAGTAAATTTTCAGGTTTATTTATTTATTTATTTATTTATTTATTTATTTATCTCTCATAGCCACACTCTAATCTCCAGGAGATGCCAACATTTTGACTAACCCTTATTTCACTCCCACGAAGCACTGGGTCATACCATGCTGCTGAAGCTAATGTAGACACACACAAAAATGTCTCCTGAAAAAACAATATTAGTGACAGTACTTCCTGAACTTGTTACCATGTGTAAAGAGAAAGAGAGACTGAGCCAATATTATTAAATTCAGTAAATATAAGTGATTAATAGATAAGTCAGGTGAAAAATATGCAAGTGCCATTTGTTTGAAAGTAGGTAATTTACACTTTAAAAAAACATAGTGAGGATGATGTCTGTATATGATACATAGGAAACTTTAATTAAACTGCAATTTTTGAGTGTGCAGAAGTAAAATAATTTTTTTATATTGCCTAAGGTCACAATTTACATTTCATAGTGTCTATCAAACACAATTCTTATACCAAACAAAATTACTCAATAAGGTTGCAGCTTTTTGGTGTGAAATGTCAAATTACTTTAATGACTGATTTTCACCTTGATTTATCCATTTATGTTTTATATTTAGCTGTATGTATGTTTGGGAGGGATCTTAAGCACATAGCCTTTATATGATCACCCATAACAATATAAATAAGATCAGTGGTCTGCTGAGTCAAAACCACTTATTCTTTCCTTTATAAGCATCACATAAATATAGACAGGTCCCTTCAGAAACCAAAATAACTGTCTCTAGCTTTTAATAAAATAAACAAGGACACAGTAATAAAATATTTTTTAAACACACATTGATTTTATGTAAGCTAAAATATGAAGTGTTCAAAACAGAAGGAAAAAGAGCATTTCTCAGTAAGAATTAACATTGTAAGAATATTTGTTTCTAAGTGTGTCTTTAACTTAAAGATTAAAAAGTTATTTAGAATTTACTAGAGGAAAACAAATGTCATTTTATTTTCTTTATGTTAACTCATCTGAGACAAATAAATATAAAACATTATTACATATTAGCAACCATGATTGGATTTTATTTTTAGATAGTAAAATAATATGTCATCTTATTAAATTTAGATCAAAGGCTCTTTGGGAAAGCTTAATTTGAGATATTGCTGCTAATTTCATCAGTATTTTAATGGCCTCCAAGGAAAATTGTGAATGTTTTATGAGTATTTAGAAGTAATGTAGATATTCCAAGGAGGAAAAATGGAAATAAAAAGAAAAGCGTGTAATGTCATAATTACTTCATTAGTGTGGAGAAGACATTAGCAAGAAAATTCCAGGTCAACTTAAAATGGTCTTATGGGGAGCAGACATTTTAATGACCATCACAAGAGGGTTGTCCTGTCCCAAACCAAAGCCTGTGTCAGATTCCATAAATAGATTAGAAAGCAAATAGCACTTTGGTTTACAGTAAAATGAGGATGTGTGAAAATGTTTCTTTGCAAATTCGCTTTTGATAATCACGATATAGCACGCATAATTTACTAAAAGAAAATGTAGAAATATTTAAGTAACATAATCAGAAATACAATCGTGTTGTTTTTCTTACATGGAATAAAAATATTTATTCCGATTAAATTATCTGGATCAGGAGTTAACCAACTAGGCCTGCAGGTCAAATCTGACAGCCACCTGTTTTTGCAAATAGTTTCTTTGGAAAAAAACCTCGCTCATTCATCTAGGTATTTTCTATGGTTGCATCTGTGGTACAGTGTCAGCTGAGTACTAGTGACAGACTGTATGGCCTGCAAAGCCTAAAATATTTATTTTATGGTCTTTACAGAAAAAATTTGTCAATATCTAACTAGATGATTGTTTTAATTATTCAATTATCTAGACCTAATCCTACTACCAACCCTCAGTGTAGCTGAGTCATTAAAATATTAATTACCATCAAATTTTATGGCATTGCCATAAAATTTTATTTATTTAGATGTTCATATGTGTTAATTTATGAAAATGCTTATTAAGGACCTGGAGTGTTCACTTTACATGATACAGTGAATTCAAAGATTTAAACACTCTGGTCCTTGACTTTAAGCTCTCATGAGATACTAGGGGGGGACTGTCTCAGGCTGCAATTTAGACATATCATTGCAATATGTGCGTTTATTCATTTATCAGATGTTTCAGAGCAAGTGAAAATTATTAGGTGCTGGTGCATATGCTTGTATGGTGAAAATAGATATACTACTTGTTCTCATTAAATTTATGAAATAGCTAAGTCAAAAGGGAAGAATAAATACTTACAAATTGTGACAAATACTATGAAAGAAGTGAATAAATTTCAGTGATGGAGATTAATGCAAAAGGACAGTTTTTCACAGCATAGTTAAGGGAAAGCCTCATCGAGAAGGTGTTTCAGTTATTTGTTGCCACATATGAGCCATCTTATAACTTGGTAGCTTAAAATAACCATAATTATTTATTTTCTTCACAAGTCTGCAATTTTGGCAGGGCTTGGCAAGGGCAGATCCTCTCTACTCCATGTGGCATCACCTAGAATGGCTCTATGGGCTGGAGAATCCTCTTACATGTTGGCTCACTCACATGGCTGGCCAGGTTGATTTGGTGGTCACCTGGGAGCTTGGCCATAGTTGTGGCTTGGTCACTGGTGCACCTCCAGGTGAGCTTCTTCAGGCTACTTGCAGTTCCTCACAGCATGGTGCCTGGGTTGCAAGAGTGAGTGATCCAAGATAACTAGGCAGAACCTGTATTGCTTTTTATGATCCAGCCTCAGAAATTGCATAATATCATCATTTACTTTGTAGTAATTAGTCCATCTAGATTTAAGGGGAAAGAGCATAGATGCCTTACCTCTCGATGGGAGGAATCTCAAAGTCTTATTGTAAGAAGACCATGTTATTAGGATATACTGCTGTAGCCCTCTTTGTAAAGTACATTTTGCAAAAAAATGCAATAATTTGTACAATTATACTAAGGCCTGAAGGATAAGAAGTCAGATCTACCAGTAATGTGAAGGATATTTTTCTAAACAGAGCTAACATCAAATGTGAAAACACTGCAGCAAGAAAGAGATTGGCATGTTTGAGAAACCTGGAGGAGACCAGTGCAGTCAGCAAGGGGAAAATTGATTAATGTTTAGTTTGCAGAGCTGGGAAGTATTTGATCATACTGGGCCCTTTAGGGCAAGGTATTGCTTTCAAATTTTATTCTCTAAGTGTTATAAGAAGTTTTTGAAAGGTTTAATGCATGACGGGAATATCACTTAATTTATATTTCTAAAGATCATCCTGACTTTAGTGTGGAGAATGGATAGGAGGGGTTCAATGTTAGGAGCAGAGAGATTGGTTAGAAGGCTATTGCAGTAATTCCAGTGAGTCATGATTTTGTCTTAAAACAGAGTAATTGTGGAAATGAATACAGAGAAAATGATTCGAATAGAGAAAAGTTTAGCGGTAGAAGGTGTATGCGTTGTTACTAAATGGATAAAGGAGTAAAGCATAGGGAATGTGGAAGAACCAAGAATGACTTCTAGTTTTTAGGAATGAGCAACTAAATGGGTACTGGTGTCATTTGTGTAGGAGGAAAACCCTAGGGCAGGAACACATTTCTGGGGAGTTTAATCAAGAGTTCCGTTTTGGACATGGTATATTTGAGATGTCTCTGATATTGTCAACAGAGTTGTTGGTTTGGCCTGAAGATACACATTTGGAAGTCATCATCATATACATGGGATATGTGCTTTTATGGTATGGGAACTTATGAGATCACCTCACGAGAGAATACAGAGAGAGGAGAGAAGAGAGCCAGAGCCAAATTCTTTGGAAGGCAGTATTTGGATATTGTTAGGAAAAGAGAAATGCATGAAAGAGAAAAAGAAGTCAGGGAAGTTTGGAGATACCTTAGAATGCAGTGAGAAAAGAGAAACCAAGAGGTTGGAGGGTTTCAAAATCCAGAAGACCTTCTGGGCAATCTTATAAGATAAGAACGTGATGTGTGAATCCTTCAGATTCAGCAATTTGGAGATATTTGGCTAGAAGCCAAACTGGAGGGGGTGGAGTGTGGATGTGAAGAGAGGAGGGTTGTGCATGTATAAGATGTGACAGGTGCTGTGTGGCTGTGAAGCAGAACATGGGGAAGGTTTGACAATTCAGGGAAGGCTGCACAGCAGAGATGGCAGAACTGCTCCATTTAAGTAAAATGGTCTACTAATCAGAGAAATACAAATTAAATCACAATGAGATATCTTACACCAGTCAGAATGGCTGTAACTAAAAAGACAAAAAAAAAAACAACAAAAAACAGATGTTGGAGAGGATGTGGGGAAAAGAGAACCCTTATGTACTGTTGGTGGGAATGTAACTTAACAAAACCTCTATGGCAAACAGGATGGAGATTTTCTCAAAGAACTAAAAATGGAACAATCTTTCAATCCAGCAATCCCACTACTGGGTATCTACCCAAAGGAAAATAAATCTTTATATCCAAAAGATACCTCACTTATATGTTTATTGTAGCATTATTCACAATAGCAAAGACATGAAATCAACCAAAGTGTCCATCAGTGGATGACTGGATAACAAAAATTGTATGTGTGTGTGTGTGTGTATATATATATATATACACACACACACACACACACATATATATACACATATGAATACTACTCAGCCATAAAAAATAATGAAATCATATATTTTTCAGCAATATAGATAGAACTGGAGGCCATTATCTTATGTGAAACAACTCACACAGAAAGACAAATACCACATGTTCTTACTTATAAGTAAGAGCTAAATAGTGTGTATACATGGAAGCAGAGTGTGAAACAATGGACAATGAAGACTCAGAGGGGTGGGAGGGTGGGAAGGGGCTGAGGAATGAGAAATTTTTTTATGGGTACAAAGTACATTATTTAGGTAATGGAAACAGGAATAGCCCAGACTTCACCACTACACAATGTATCCATTTAACAGAAATCCATTTGTACACTCTAAATTTATACAAATTTAAAAAAATTGTCTAGTTTGCTGATTCACATTCTGAAATATATTCATTTAAAACATTTTTAATGGGAAGTTTGGAAATGTTCTACACATCTCCATCCCTTCCAACACAGAGTATGCAGAACGTAATGCAACTTTTGTTCATAAGGACTGCTTCTGTCTGGTCTTTGCCATGTTTGGCTCTTAAGAGTTAATGAGGGAAACTTAACTCTTATTCTAAATGGCTTTAAATGCCTATGCTTTAGGTTTTCTGCGTGTGTGCACACGTGTGACAGAGGGGGGTGGGAAGAGAGAGAGCTATTCTTCAAATTAAGGTTTGTCAGCCTCCAGAACCCCATGCCATTTTCACTATGTTAGTCTATCTAACTAGCAATTAGATCCATTCATTCAATAAACGTGTTTGATTACCTTCTAAAATAACAAAACAATCATGACACTTAACCTCTATAAAAGTGCTTACTTCTGTGGACAGATAATGTTTTATGCACTTTACATGTATTACCTCATTTAGTTCTGACAATAGTCATGTGAGATCCCATTTTACAGGTGGGGCAATTGAGATCCAGAATATTTATATAAATGTTTAGGGCTTCCACATATGGACAATGGTGGAGTCAAGTTTTGAATCAGGCAATCTGGGGCCAGGGCTCTTTAACTATTCTCTAGGGCGTGCGCGCGCGCGCGCGCGCGCACACACACACACACACACACACACACACACACACACACACACACACACACAAAGTCATTATTTCTGGAGTTTAGTAAGCTGGGAGAGGTAAGCAAAGAGGCTGCAGGAGGCAGCTGCCATTTGATCACTGGCCCTTTAAGCTCTGTTCAGGGGTTTGAATTTTTATCTAAGCAACGGCCGTGTCTTGATGTGTTCTGAGCAGCAAGTGATGGGACGGGATTTGCTTCTAATCTACAGCTGGTATTGAGCATAAAAAGTGAACAAGCTCTGTAGAAGTATAAAGTACATAAGCTTTATAACAACCATCATAGACATAGAGGCATTTCTTGCTCTCATCTTGGTTCCCAGAAACTCTCATTGCACAATCTTGGCTAAAATGATAATTATGATTCTAACAGTAGCAAGTAATGCTGCCAACTCCAAAGCAGTTAATAATGATAATCAAAAACTTGAAGACAAAAAGTAAAATAAATAACCCCACAAAGTCAGCTGAAGTCATATTTTACAAAGTTTTTAAAAAATCTTATTAGGTTTTAAATAAATGTTTTATGGATATATTCAAATGCAACTTCTTTGCTGAAACCTTTCTAAATCCTCATTTGGCATTAGTTGCTATATCTCCTATAGCAGTGATAGATTGTTCCCATAACAATCTATTTGACCTCTATTGACCAGTTATTATTTAGCATTGTCATTTATCTGTTTACGTGTAATTCACAGTTTGTTTCAATTTGAGTCAGCAAAGATTTATGTAGCATTTTTAGTGCACTATGCTAAGCATTCCCACATCATATGCTAAGTGACTTAGAGGCTTATAAGAAACATTGAATTGTTATAAAAGAGAGACTCAAAATCTTTTAAATTTGTTATCTGGCACAGCCCATCTAGAATAAATATGAAGGAACCAACTTTTTATTATCTTCGCTTGATGCAATTTTTTTTTGTATTTAATGCAGTATTTTAACTTTCTCTTATTTATTGGTCAAATATTGAATAATTCCAGAGCCAAGGTTCATAAAATATAGTTATAAATAAATGCATATTTTAAAAGGGCAAACATTTCTTGACATTTAAAACAGCAAATCCATGAATTTTGAAAAGGAAGACAGGTTTTAAGATTATATTTTATCAGATAGATACAGCCTGTCAGTAACGTGATTGCCAAAAAAGCCCTTCTACCATTATAAAACTGGCAAAGAAGAAAAATATGCCTGTATTGTTGATTGTCTTCTACTGGAGAGTGTAATTATATCTCTGACTGTAGGCTAGGTGGAAGTTATGACTGGCTACCTGATAGTAATGCTTACTCAGTTAAGAAGGGGCTTGTGTGCTCACAAAATTAAATTAAAGCAGGTTGAGTCTTCAGTTACAAGTTTTGACGTTTCTTTTCAAATGTAGACCTAGACAGGACAGTGTTTATGGGTATAAATAATCTGGGTATGAGAAGATTTTAATAAAAGGATAATCATTACAGAATGAATAGAGAGAAGAATGGATCACTGACTAATCCATCAGCAGATCTCATGAGTGATTCATTTGATGTGAAAGAAAAGTAATCCTGAAGATACAGAATCAAATCCAGGTGTTGTAGAGCCTTGATGTCATTGCCACATTTATTCAGAAACAGTTCAACAGAAACAGAAGAAACTGAGTGGTCAGAACTCTGATTTTTTATTTCAATTGTATTCATTTGTCCCATAAAGGTTTGTGTGTAAAGTATATAAGAATCATCTTCTGTGAAGTGGAACTTTGCTTCAGATTATGGGTGAGGGGTTTCGGATGATGGGTTTTATTTTAGGAAAAATCCTTGAGATTAAAATTTTAAACTCCTGTCTATGTTTAAATTATGAATATTAATGATATGGTATATTTTATATAATTATTATAGAATTGACTTGTCAAGTTACAACATTTCGTTAGTGCTATATTTTCACAGCAGTGAGTAAATTTTACTGGTAACTGGAATTTAACCTTTAAATTCTCCAAGTTTAAGAATTTTAAACAATTTTGATGAAAATAGTTTTAAATTAAAACAACTTGCTTTTTAAAGTTTTAAATAGACACCACTGAAATCAACAACTTTTAGAAATGATTCAGGAAGACTGTTATGATCCTTCACTATTATGATGGTCTATAGCACAATATAATACTGTTGTGGTAGGTTATAATACTATAATAATTATAATACTATAATGCCTAGCTTTTTGTCGGCCCAGTTGCTGACATACCATGGGTTGTCCATATTTCCTTGTATTGTTATGTGTTCTTCTAGGGGAATCTCATTACCTTTCTCACAAATTTTAATCTCATAATTGCACTGAAGTCTAGATATCAGAGGACCAATAATGTGAGAATTTTATCTTACAATAAAAGTCACGGCTGGGCGCGGTGGCTCACGCCTGTAATCCCAGCACTTTGGGAGGCCGAGGTGGGCGGATCACGAGGTCAGGAGATCGAGACCATCCTGGCTAACATGGAGAAACCCCGTCTCTACTAAAAATACAAAAAAAATTAGCCGGGCATGGTGACGGACTCCTGCAGTCCCAGCTACTCGGGAGGCTGAGGCAGGAGAATGGCGTGAACCTGGGAGGCGGAGCTTGCAGTGAGCGGAGATCAAACCACTGCACTCCAGCCTGGGTGACAGAGTGAGACTCCGTCTCAAAAAAAAGAAAAAAAAAAAGTCACTGAGTTGAGGGAGGTAAGAATTTCACTCTTGGATACCAGTGCAGAAGGGACTCTCTGTGACCCTGGGACTTGTGACACTGTTTTGTTTCTAGATTCCTTTTCTCACTGTATTTCAGAGGCTTGGGATTTTTGAATAATCAGAACATTATTAAATAATAATAATTTGGTAGTCAAAATTGCTGTGAGAGGTGTCCTATGCATCTTCTAATTTAAAAGACAATTTATATTTGTGGCCTTAAGGGACTTTAAAGTTTTTACTTTAACATTCCAAGGATATTGATTACATGCTTGAAAAAGACTTGGAAAAATAATACAGGTTTGGCAAATTGCTATGTGCAATTTCATAAGCAATGAACAAAAACCATAGACATTTTCACCCATCTTTGGGCAGATGGTGAATGGCAACAGCAGAGATTTCAAATATAGATGTAGCACATATATATTGCAAACAGCTGTAATAGCTAAAATACATGCCAGAAGACTTAATCATTCTGGATTTTTTTCCAATACATGCTAGCATACAAAAATAGACTTCTCTTTTCTACAATTGCTATAGAATTCTTTGAAATAGGCAAGTGCATCTATGATATAAGAACTTTGCTGTATGCTGATTAGGCTGTATTTTCAAGGCTCCTTGAAAACTGGTTGATTAGCAAAATTCTCATTAGTTATGATTTGGTGTGTATAACTCATGACCAATTGTGACTTCTTGTTTTTGCTACTGAGTTGGCTGAATCAACTGTTTTGTTATGTGTAGACCCTGCCAATACCAAATATCCAGATGAAAACTGAAAAGCTGAATTGACTTCACATTCTTTTACATTTGTATATCTGTCTTTAGGTAGAAAGGTCAGCTAAGGCTTTAAGAATATATCCTTTTTTTCACTGATGGAGTTCTTACATTATAATTTGAGATTTAAAAATTCTGAGTGTCTTAAAGTGAGAAGATCTTTGATTTGTTTGAAAATAAGAAAGTAGCATAGAGTTTTTTAGCAGAAACAAGGAAAAAGTAATCTATATTACTTTAGAAATTTTGGGGGGAAAAATCTGTGCCAACAAACAAGTCACCATTAAGGTTCTTATACTTTAGATGTTGTTAGTTTTATGGAATATTGTCTATGACAATTATAGCAGAAGAGGGCTCTCAGTAGGTCAACTGATATCTATTTGGCAGTAGAGTGTGGGGTATGAGTAGAAGTGCATGATTAGAGTCCACAGATCTGAATTAGTCCTAACTGTCACATATGAACTGATATTAATTTCACTAAGTATCCTGAATTGGGGATGATATTAGCATTGTCTAACTTAGAATTAAAGGAGATGATGAGTTAAATAGATGTTGTAAACTCTTATATGATATTCAAATGCTAGCTAAGCATGACACTCGAAGGATATGGGCCACCATAATTTCCTGTTTGTTTCTCACAGTTTGCTGACATTTCCAGCAGATAAGAATTCTGGCTAGAAACTGGTGATATCCTCTTCCTTTTCCTTTTGTGAATAATCTCTTCTTATTTCATTTACCCTATGGTTGCTTTTTTTCTTCACATTCTTCTTTTCTATTTTACATCCCCTCCCATGCCCCAGGCATTGAGTGATCAGTGCTGTCTTTATCATCTCAACAAACTCCAGACTTTAGGAAAACCTAATGTAGCTCTTTATCATCAAAACATTAGAGGCTTATTTTAGAGTGGATATAATAATAAAGGGCCAACCATTAGTATTAGTGTTAAAATATATTCTAGGTGTTCTAAACTTGACATCTTGAGCCTAGGATAATCCATATATTCTACTGAAACAAATTATGTTTTATGGGTTAATTATTATTTAAGCAACACAGCTTTATTGTGTAGTGTGTAGTATCATCTTAGACATTATTAAGATGACATGAGAATCCAGCAGGACAGATCTAAAGGGGAATAGCGATGGAAAAATGAAATAATTAAATATACTAGAATTTTAAATATAGAGTCTTTTCTCCCATAATGACTATGTATGTTCTTTAAAAATCACTATAATATGGAATTTTATGCAATAAAAATAGGATTGCAGAGAAATAGAAATTCTAGTCATTTAAGTAGACTCGATAAAAATATAATATCCTATTAAAGTTTTAAGCAGCTTAGATTCCAAGTAAATATACTACTACAGTAAATAGATGAGTATTGAAATTTATTTTGAGAATAGATATTAAGTTTGTTTGGTATGAATAAACGTGGTGAAATGTGGCATTTGGGTATCATGAAGAAATGGAAGGAGGAACAACATCATCATTAAGGCAAAAATTGTGTCACTGGATTTGGCACAGATGGCTGTTGCTTGTGCCTACAAATGAGACTGGATGCCTAGTGGTGCCTTTCTGTGGCAGCATTATGGCTGGTGTCCTCTATCCTGCTCCAGCACTTTTCAGTCTCCCTTAAACAGACAGTAACTGTGTTGCATCTATCTCTTGCTTCAGTTATACTCCCAACCTTACCTTTGAAGCTGTGCACTGTGGATTCCCTCAGTCCTGTTTGTTTGGAGCTGTCATGTGCTCTCCCATTTCTTTCAAAAAGTTTTATTACTTTAAATTTTCATCAGTATCTAAGGCTTTTAGATGTTTATCATATTTGGGTTGTCTTATTAAAATATTTTTCATAGAAAAAGTAAGTAAACTCAAAAGTTATAATATATACCTGTAGTACAACATATGTACAGTAAAAACAAATGGAGTTAAGAGTAAGAATAAAAATGAGATATATGAATGTTTTGTGTATTCTTCCGTGGTCATATGTTCAACTGAGTAGTGTTGTTTCTTTCAGCCAGTGTTACTTGGAACAGAAGGCATAGCCACCTCATGAAAAATCAGTATGAGCTAACATGGTTTTCTGTTTGGCTGGTTTTCCCCCTATTTATCCTCAGTGTATCAAACAAATCAGTCATTATAAATAAGCATTGAAACAGAAAGAAAAACAGTACCATTTTCTTTTTCTTTTTTTTTTTTTCTGAGACAGAGTCGTGCTCTGTCGCCCAGGCTGGAGTGCAGTGGTGCGATCTCAGCTCACTGCAAGCTCCGCCTCCCAGGTTCAAGCCATTCTCCTGCCTCAGCCTCCCGAGCAGCTGGGACTACAGGCACCCGCCACCACGCCTGGCTAATTTTTTGTATTTTTAGTAGAGATGGGGTTTCACCGTGTTAGCCAGGATGGTCTCGATTTCCTGACCTTGTGATCTGCCTGCCTCGGCCTCCCAAAGTGCTGGGATTACAGGCTTGAGCCACTGCACCCAGCCAACAGTACCATTTTCTAAAGCATAAGGTTCCCCTAAGCTGAATGAGATTGATTATATAGGAAGTCCATGAATAATTTAAGAAATTGGATTAAATATTTCATCAATCAATAATTTTTTTCACCTCCCTGGAAAACGAGATAAAAGTCCTCTTTGGGTAAAATGGGGAAGCAAGAAAGTTAGATATAGTTGAGCATTCTAAAGAAAATCTGTGCTCTGCTACTCCCACCCTTCCTAGTAAACTCTTGAGAAGGGTGAAAGAGGTGATACCAACTGTATCTCTAGATCCCAAAATTATAGTGAATCTATGGTCCAGTTTACATTTAGAAACCTGGAGGCACCATGGCAAGGAAGCAAGTGATAGAGTTGTTCAAAGGTAACTCAGGTAGCCTCAGCAAATCCTGTGATCTGCAAATAGTCATGGACATACACCTGGAAATAGGCATATGCTTCTGGAAAGGTACAATGAAGTGGGGAGCAGTAGACCTGAAGCGAAGGCATGTGATGGTGTCTCATTGACAGATGGTGGATTGGACCTCATGGCCAAAGAACTGACTGAGATTCTGATTATCTCAGTGGATGCCAATCTGGGGGGTGAGGTGTGACAATAGCTGAGATCCAGATGGGATGATGTTTATATTTCAGTGGATGTCATGCAGACAGGCAATGACAGAAGGTGAGTGGCCCCTTGTTAGTTATTTATTTTAAAAAACATCGATTGAACACCTATTATGTTTCAGGCACTAACCTAGGCACTGTCAGAAAGTGTCTGATCTACATAAACTTTTAGATGTAGTCCTTGAGAGAAAGCAAACAATTTCTGACTTAGCACACTATATATTGCATATTATATTATCTGTGTCCTTTCCATTAGAATGTGCTCCAAGAGAGTAGGGATTATTACCATTCCTATTGCTTATAGCAAAATTTAGCACATAGTAAGTGCTCAATGCACAGTTGTGGTTTGGAAATAATGAGACTATAGAAATAGAGATATAAATTATAGACAAATAAAAATACTTTTTGGTATACGTGCATTGATGGCTGAAAAATTATAATCTGCTGTAGAGTCAAATAATATCCATTAAGCAATAAGGCCATATTTATGTGTCTAAAGTAAGGCAGGCCCAGTGAATGAAGGTAGAAACTTTTTTCTTTTTTTTTCTTTTTTTGAGATGGAGTGTTACTCTGTCACCCAGGCTGGAGTGCAGTCCACACGACCTCGGCTCACTGCAACCTCAGCTTCCTGGGTTCAAGCAATTCTCCTGCCTCAGCCTCCCGAGTGGCTGGGACTATAGGCGTACACCACCACACCTGGCTAATTTTTTTTGTATGTTTAGTAGAGATGGGGTTTCACCATATTGGTCAAGCTGGTCTGGAACTCCTGACTTTAGGCGATCCATCTGCCTCAGCCTCCCAAAGCGTTGGGATTACAGGTGTGAGCCACTGTGCCTGGTTAAAATCTTTTTTAAATTTGTGTCCATCCAGTGTTGGGAAACAAGATGCCCCATGCACTTCATGAAGAAACGTTACTAATACTACTGATAATAACCATCTTAACTATCTTTCCAAAATTAACTAAACATTTATCTTATACATATAGAAATCTCTGGAATAACATGTTCAGTGGGAGAGGTGGGAAGAATATTTGTGTATAATAATTCGATGAGGGAGGAGTGGGATTGGTGTGTGTGTCCTGACTTAGTGAGACTCTGCTGCCCATTTCAATTACTGCTAGTCATGTATGGCTACCAAGTACATTACAAGTATGTAGTCCAAATCAAAATATGCTGTGAGTGTAAAATACACATCTGGATTTCAAGGACTTAGTAAAAACATATAAAATATCTCTGTGATAACTTAAAATATTAATTTATTAAAATGATAATATTTTGTATATACTGGCTTAAATAAAATACATGGTTACCATTTCTTTCACGTGTTTCTATTTTTGACTAGTACAAACTTTAAAGTTTTGTATGTGGCTTGCATGATATTTCTCTTGGACATCGAATGGTGCTGTTTTAAACCATTTTGCTGAGACCCATTCGCTGTCTCATCTCTATTCCATTGAAAAAAATACATTCCTGTCACATGTACTGCCATTGTTGCTCCAGAAACTTCTTACCTCCAATTTGACTTTCTTTTGCACTGGGGAATACCAAGCTTTTGTGGACATATCATTTCATTATTCCAGATAGGTTCAAATTACTTCAGGCATCCACCACTATTTCTAAATCAAAGGCCAAAGGAAAAATTAATTGAATGAGCAATTCCATTTTATAGCTGGAAATTATATATGGTTCTTTATTCTTAAATTTACCTATTTTTATTCTGGTAAACAAGAATTTTCTGTCACCATATTAAACATAAATTTACCAATAAACTCACCTAAAGAAAATTACTTGTTTTTCCTTGGGCATTATTTACAGATAAAACTTCTATTTCAGAGGTAATCATGCATGGGTTGGGTATATTATGATTAATGTAGAAGATACTCACTTTTACATAGTTTTCAAAAGCAACAGTAAGCAAAGGGGGAGACAGTGTATAAAGATAGGCCTATAGATACCACAGGAAGTATAAACAATTCCAGGCGTTTATAAAAGAAAAATATTCCTGACCATTGCAGGCAGAGCAGAAGCGTACTTTCCTGAGTGACTATCTAAACTGCTCTATGTCTGATGCTGTCTATTTAGAGTTATAAAAGGATAATTTCAAGAATTACATGGATAACAAAGGCATTTAAAAACTCTATTTATGAAAAAAGGATTTATGTTCACCCAGGCCACCTCGACAGGCAGACTACACTAATAAAATCACTTGGATCATTACTGTAATTTCCACATCTTTGAATTTATGTAGTGAAAGCTGTCTAATAAGAAAAGCATATTTGGAGAGGATCATCTCTTTTTTTTAGCAAAGATGAAAACTAAAGAGGTGATGCTTAATGTTATACAACGATTTAGTGGAAACCTAGATTATAACTAGATTTTCTAGTCCTTAGGTTTTCCTCAATAGAATCTGAAGGCAGGAAGAAAGTTCCAAATGTCCTCAGATAATCTACACTGCTTCAAGGACCAAGTCATGTTAGAAAGATTAGTTTCTTGCTCATTCTTATTTTTTTTCATTTGCTCTCGTTATGATTGCTATCTATAATTAAAAACACTCCTGAAAACTTTAACAATTGTATTTTGCGATCAGCAGTGTCTCTCATTTTTCATTGTGTCTCCCATATAGCTCATGTCTTTGTTGTAAGAAGTATTGGAGTCAAATTAATGTCACACAGATGTGATAATGTCTGTTTTTTAATGTCTAGGATGGAACTGCAGAACCCAATCAAATCTTGAATTCTGAATTTCCTTAGCAGTATTCCTTGGCTGACTTTTTTTCTTCTTAATCATTGAGTACTTCATTTGTGATAGAAATTGTCTTCATATTGCTTCATATATCATTTTTAGTTTTCCTTTAATACACCCAATAAGCTCACAATTTTCTCAAGTCATTGAAGTGGTTGTCAATAGTTATTATTGTTCTATTTATGCATTTTTGGACCATTAGCATTTTTATAGATAAAACTTCTATTTCAGAGGGAATCATACATGAGTTGGGTATATTGTGATTAATATAGAAGATACTCACTTCTACATGGTTTTCAAATGCAACAGTAAGCAAATAGGGGGGCAGTATATAAAGATAGGCCTATAGATATCACAGGAAGTATGGCTGTCTACTTTTCTGTTCTAATGCCAGTGACAACAATAACAATACACTGACTGCTAGGAGTTCCAGATAAGTCCAGGAGTAGGAAAATAAAAAAAAAAAAAAGGAAGGAAAAATATGAAGCCATGTAGAAAACCAAATCAGAAGGAAGGTTCTATGGGAAACTGTTAATACACCAGGAAAAATAATGATTTTTAATGTATTTGCCATGTGCATGTATATATGCATTTTCATGTATATGTCAGTGTGTTGTTATCATTGTCCGTGAAATTAAAAGAGAAAAATAGATTCTCTTACATTTGCCCTAAATATTGCTCCTGGAATCAAATAATTTACATTTAATTATATTTACCAAAAATACTAAGTGTCTATTGTGCATAAGACACTGTGTTTGATTATGGAGGATATGAATGTCAATGATGCTATCAAGAACTACAGACTTATGATAGAAATAAAACAATATGCATTTTCTTTGTAGAGGTTATACAGTTATAACTGTTGATTTCCATTCTTTTGTGCAGATATTAAAGCAAATTGTGTAGAATCCAAAGTGTTTTGATTTAAAAATATCTTATATTTTTGTGCATTAATAGTTAAAATTTCTTTATTATACACACACACACTCCCTTACTCCACTTTTAAATTTTAAATTAGTAAAGAATGCTGATAATTTCAATAATCTACACTAAGATAAAGCATTGGAGCTAAATGTTTGTTGTATACTTTATAAAACAAGCAAAAAATGAATAAAAGAAAGCATGGAGATGTAAGCTAACACATTAAAATGTGTGATTTATATTAAGAAGTTACCATGAAGACTGGACTTGCTATTCAGGAATTATTCAATGCTTTCATCCCAGAAGTAATTTGCTTCTTTTAAATATGAGAAGACATTTTAATTTGCAACCAGGCCTGGACATGTTTGTTTTTTAAACCACCACCATTCCCTGCAGCTAAAGATGGAAGATGGGAAGTGTATGTTTTATGATGCCTTTTCTCAAATGAAGCTTAATAACTGCTTACTATGCAGGTTTCTATCTCCACCCTGAATCTCCATTTTAGTCTTGTTTATAAAACCCTAATGGTATAGAGTTATTGATAATCAAAAATGAAAATAACAGTTTCCCAGTTTTATTCTTAAATATGTTATTTTATGTATATGTATATATCTGATATTTCTCTAATATATATTTTATTGAAATGTTGGTTTTTAGATGAAATACTACACAGCATACATATAAACTAAATTTTTTGCTAGGGTTGTATTTGTACATATAGGATGGAATGGACAACTAAGACACTTAAATAGATATTTCAATAAAAGTGTTTTAATAGTAGACAATTGTAAGTAGCTAAACATCCATAGCCCCAGTACCTGCTCAGAGATTATAGTTTATATTGGATACTCAGGAAGTCTGTTAGAGTCTATGATTCATGCCTGTGGGAAATATGTTTTCCTTCACACTTTAATTAAGCAGTTTTGTTCCGAACCCAGGATGTGACATTTCCCTTCTTCATATCAGAGGAAGAATGAGTAACAAGCATTTCCTTGAGGAAAGTGGACAGAAAATGTGGACTCTTCAACCTAGACTTGGAAAGCTACAAGTGGAATCTTTCCACATTTAGTGGAAGAGAAACCACTCACAGGTCACAAGCAGCAATTACTTTTGAGAACAGAAAGAAGGAAACCAAAGTCTCCTTAGAGATACAATTGATAAAAACTCAGAACCTAATGTGATATATAAGCAATTATGTTTTGAAAAAGGATTTTTTGAAGTAGTAAGTTCACTGACAGAATAAAATGACATACTAGTATGAATAAAAGTGGGACAAAAAAGATATTGAGATACAAGTGAAAATCAAAAAGTCCAAGTGGAAGAATCAAGAAAAAACTAAAACAAAGACTATTCTTTTCCTGAACTAAGGCGTTTCATCAGGTTTCTATGAATAGACATAGGGTGTTTATTTTACAACCTCATACTCATTTGTATTTAGTTTTACATAATTAGGCTAAAGTCAAGTGTATAATAAACTATGGAAAGCTTTCATTTCATGAAGGAGTTTCAATCACTCTTATACCTCCATAAAATCCTGAGTCAACAGCCCTCTTGAGAAGGACTGGACCCAAACGGGTACAGCAGTTCTAGCAGATGGCCAATTAGGTTTTAGTTGCTGAGACGTCATGTGGCTTTTAGCACCGAATCTCATTTATTATTTCCTTCTAATCTTTATGGAGCCAATCAAATTAAATATTTGACACAGAAGCACTTAAAGCAAACCCATTCATTGGATGACAGCAATCAAAACAGAAAAGGATAGATAGCCGTTCTGGGACCCAGCAATATGGTTCTTTCTTAGAGCAAAGGGGTACCTCTAGGTTTGATATGAGGAAACAGTCAACAAAGTGGAATAAACTTGTTTCTGACCAGTTGTGGTTGTGTGACAAGACTGGGTATGTTAGTCCATTTTCACATTGCTATCACGGAATAGCTGAGGCTGGGTAATTTATAAAGAAAAGAGGCTTAATTGGCTCATGGTTCTGCAGGCTATACAGGAATCATGGAAGCATCTGCTTCTTGTAAGGGCCTCAGGAAGCTTTTACTCATGGTGGAAGGCAAGGTGGGAACAGGCACTTCACATGGCAAAAGCAGGAGAAAGAGAACGAGGGGGAAGGTGCTACACACTTTTAAATGAGAATTCAAGAGAATCCACTCTGGAGATGGTGCTAAACCATTCATGAGCCACCCAACTCCAAGATCCAATCACCTCCCACCAGACCCCACCTCCAATGTTGGGAATTCCATTTCAATATGAGATATGGGCAGGGACATACATCCAAACTATATCACTGGGTTTCCATCATAATTTTATAAGATAAAATATGGGAGTAGAAAACGATCTTGTTTTAGTATCATGGGAACCCCTTAGTTACTTGGTTTTCTGAGGTTAACCTCAAGCTGCGCAGCTCCTCACCTAGGCCTTACGTGTAGAATAATGTGTCAAATGGGCCACTTAATCCATTTACCCTTGTGTACAACTCTCTGACTGTGTCCCTTGGGATTTTATGTTTGCTTTATGTTTGTTAAATTTCCTTGGCCTTTTCCACGTTGGCCTAATCTGGAAACTTGCATGTTCTCCCCTCCTCTTTGTTCCCAACATATGATTTTACCCAAATAGGGCTCCTTGACTCTTATTATATCCAGGAAGAAAAAAACTCTGGATTGTCTTTGTTTCCTTCTAGTTCATTCATTGAATATGAGGCAGGGCAAAACATGAAATGCTTGCCTGATGTTTGACCTACAAAATTATTTAATTCATTTTTGTCTTACTAGATATTTCAGGCATAGCACACAGATTTCAAAAGACACAAAAAAGTATAAACTGAAAAACATGGCTTTTTCCTTTTCCCATAACCTAGTTGCCAATATTTCTTCTAGGAGGCAGTTTCTGTTACAGACTAATATAAGTCATTTATATCAGCTTGATGTGTAATTTTCTAGAGACCATCTGCATTTACTATGTATCAATCAACTATTGATGTATTTTCTTGTGTATGGTAGCATTCTCTACATGCTGGTCTGAAATGTGCTTTTGATTTAACATTATGCCTTGAAGGTTGTTACTTATCAGTTTATAAAGTGGCCCAATTCATTTAATAGACACAGTATTCTCTTGTATGGATGTGCTTTAAATTATTTATCCAATTTTGTATTGATGCTTATTTATGTTGCTGTCCATATTTTGCATTGCAAATAATGCAACATCAAATATTCTTGTACATGTGTGTTATAGTTTTTGTACTCTAAGCTATAAAACGAGAAAGTCAGTATAGCACCTTCTACCTCCTTTTCTTCTTTGTTCGGGTTTGTTATTTATGACATTTTCCACTACTGGATTTACGGCATTTACATTCTTTTCTGTAATAATAATCCTTAGATTTGTTCTAGTCTTAATCTTACATTTAAATAAATTTAGTGCTCACCATCAGTCCTTCTGCTGTTGTTTCTTCACTCATCCCTCAGTTGGCTGAAGTTGCTCCTTTAATAGTTTTTTCAAGAAAGCAGCTAGAAAACTATATTCCCCAGAGTATTGCACATTTAGTGTTATCTGTCTATTACCTTTATACTTGAGTAACAGTGTGAATGCTAATTAAATTCTTGGGTCACACTGTGTCAATCTTCTTGAAGACTTAATTGCTTCACTGGATTTCAGCATTGAATGTTGCCATAGAGAAGGAAGTCTGATACCAGATTTTTTTCTGATTTAAGTGACTTGACCTTTTTTCTTGGATGTACAAAGAATTATTTCTCTATCTTTGATGTCTAATTAATCTATGAGCCTAAGTATTGTTCTTTATCATTTATTTATGTGTTTTGGTAGTACCGGGTACACTCTTCAGGCCTATAAGTTTAAATTTCCTTTTCGTTTAGGAAAGTTTCTGAATTTTATTTTTGTATATTTGTTCTGTTTATCATTAAACATTTTTTTGGGGGGACTCAGTCTATGCAAATGTTGTATATCTTTTGTTTTTGTTACATGTATCATATCAGTTTTACAATTCTTTTGATTCTTTCATGAATCCTTTGCCTTCCATGTATTTTACTATATGGTTTTCCCAACTGTCTAGTATTTTTCCTGCTGCTCCCAAAGTGGCCTTCTTTCCTGTGATCAGCTTAGTCTTTTTCTTCATCCTCTTTTCTAAGTTGTATCAGTTTATATTTCCTCTTAGTTGCCTTGTTGCTTACTTATTCAGTTCAAAATATGTGTGAAACAGTTATTATATGCCAGGCACTGTTTTAGGGCATAGTAATAGAGCAGTGAAAAAGGAGACAAAAATTTGTTTTCTGGTAATGCTTACTTTATAATTGGTTTTAGTATCTGTGCTGTGATCCTGTTTTATAGAAGTGATTACTGAGAGACAGGATTAGCTGGATTTCTTAGGCTGACTAAAAATCCCTAAGCCTAGCTGGGAAAGTGACCGTGGCATCCACCTTTAAACACGGGGCTTGCAACTTAGCTCACACCCAACCAATCAGAGAGCTCACTAAAATGCTAATTAGGCAAAAACAGGAGGTAAAGAAATGACCAATCATCTATTGCCTGAAAGCACAGCAGGAGGGACAATGATCGGGATATAAACCCAGGCATTTGAGCCAGCAACAGCTACCCTCTTTGGGTCCCCTCCGTTTGTATGGGAGCTCTGCTTTCACTCTATTTCACTCTATTAAATCTTGCAACTGCACTATTTGGGTCTGTGTTTGTTACGGCTTGAGCTGAGCTTTTGCTCGCCGTCCACCACTGCTGTTTGCTGCTGTGCAGACCTGCTGCCGACTTCCATCCCTCTGGATCCCGCAGGGTGTCCCTGTGCTCCTGATCCAGCGAGTCGCCCATTGCCACTCCCGATGGGGCTAAAGGCTTGCCATTGTTCCTGCATGGCTAAGTGCCTGGGTTCGTCCTAATTGAGCTGAATACTAGTCACTGGGTTCAATGGTTCTCTTCTGTGATGCATGGCTTCTAATAGAGTTATAACACTCCTGCATGGCCCAAGATTCCATTCCTTGGAATCTGTGAGGCCAAGAACCCCAGGCCCAGGTCAGAGAACATGAGGTTTGCCACCATCTTGGAAGTGGCCTGCTGCCATTTTGGAAATGGCCCGCCACCATCTTGGAAGCTCTGGGAGCAAGGACCCCTCCTAACAATTACCTTACTGAATTTCTACAAAATCTTTCAATATTTTTATCTTGTCCATGAGAAATGAGAAATTATTATTTTGCATATAATGTTCCTATATTTCCTCCTTTTTAAAAGGTTTTAATGGTATAATTTTTTTTTTTTTTTGAGTTGGAGTTTTGCTCTTGTCACCCAGGCTGGAGTGCAATGGCACAATCATGGCTCACTGCAACCTCCGCGTCCCAGGTTCAAGCAATTCTCCTGCCTCAGCCTCCTGAGTAGCTGGAACTACAGGTGTGTGCCACCACGCCCAACTAACATTTTTTGTATTTTTGGTAGAGACGGGGTTCCATCATGTTGGCCAGGCTGGTCTCGAACTCTTGACCTCAGGTGATCCATCCACCTCAGCCTCCCAAAGTGCTGGGATTACAAGTGTGTGAGCCACCACACCCAGCCAATAATCTTATACAAAGGTCTATTATGGGTCCTTATATTACTCATCTTTACATAAAATTAATTCTTTCTCTACCAAGTATTTATATGCATGGTTTTATTGGTGAAGAAGGGAGATATCAGATTTATGCTCTTGTCCAGGGTCAGCAGATCATAACCAGTAGTTCTAACACAGTCTATTGCACTTTTTGAACAGTCTATGAACTAAGAATAGAGGAGAAGGAGAAGGAAGGGAAGCAGTAGGAGAAGGAGAAGGAAAACAAGAAGAAAGAGACGAAGAAGAAAAAGAAGGAGGAGATGAAGAAGAGGAAGAAGAAGGAGGAGAAGGAGGAAGAAGAGAAGGAGGAGGGAGGGGGGAGGAGGGGGAAGGAGGAGGAAAACAGAAGAAGAGCAAGAAGAAGAAGGAGGAAGAGGGGAAAGGAGGGGGGAAGAAAAGAAGACAAAGAGGAAGATGAAGACAACGAAGAAGAAAATAAGAGGAGGAACAGACGTAGCCAGCTATAAAGCCTCTGTGGCCCACAAAATCTAAAATAGTCACTACCTGATTATCTACAGAAAAAGTTTGCCAATCCTTGTTTCATTATAACAGTAATTCTCCTTATGAAACAAAATAATGTGTTAAAAAATCTGTTTGCTTTTATTGATCCTAGGAAATTGAAATTGGTACTGCAAAGAACCTTACATTAATCAATCTTTCCTCTCTAGCTTGCCTCAGAAACAGTCTGCTTTCTTCAAGTATGTGTGCTTGCATGTGCCTGTGTGTGTGTGTGTGTGTGTGAGAGAGAGAGAGAGAGAGAAAGAGATAGAGAATACTATTTTCATTTACTCAAACGAAAGATTATTCATTTTGGTAATAAGTATATGCCACTCGCTTTAGAGAACAGTGTGCTGATGCCTTTCTCTGAGACCTGCAGCCATGGGTACATTCTCATGGATTCTTCTTATACTTAGTTTTAATTTTTACAGTTCCTTTTTGCAATTTTACTCATATAATGTGATTTGACTTACAGATGTCATTTAGTTCCTTTGAATTTCTATTTCTTGTTCTGTTCTCTGTTTTATTTGTATGATTGCTTAAAGGAGAAGGGAAAAAACACCTACATTAGTCCCATATTTAAAAATGAAATGTCTATTTTTAAATAAACATTACTATATTTTTATCTTGGAATATTTTACCAGGAAACTTTCAGGAATAAAGATAGTGAAGTAAAATAGTAAAGATTACATATAAATGCTATTTGTCATTACTGTGAATGAACGGTAAATTCTTATCAGACTGCCTCATAAATATCTAACAAGCACACAGTGTATTGTGATTGCATACCATGGAAAATCCATCAGGGCTCTGTGTGGTTGGCTAATTAAAATCCACATCATGATTTTAGCAACTAAAAGGATAATTTAAGAAATACGCAAAAGACTTGAATATTCTCAAGATCAGGGATAAAGAGACTTGTTCAGTAATTCAGCAAACCATCAGTGCCTCCTCCGTGCGAGGCACTATGCTAGGTGTGGGTTTATTCCCGTACTTAGCATCAAGCAGATCATTTACATTCCACTCAACCAAAGGCAAGAGGAAATAGTTTCAACTAGAGATGTAATTGATATAAAATGAATCAGTTAAAGTGAGAAGTAAAGAAAAAATTCATATAGAGAAAAACTATCTTTTCGATGTAACGAGGACCAGGGGAGTAAATAAGATCAGGAAACTATCATGACCATTAACTTTTCTTCTAAGGCTCTTGACATGTAGAGAGAAAAATTAGGAAAGCTAGATGAGTCCATTTGAAAGTGTAAATGAAAAAAAGAATGAGATTAAGTTCATATTGGAAGTTTGTTTTAGTTGTTCTTCACACATATTAACCTACATAGCGAAGTTAAAATCCTTTAAATTTCAGATTGTGAATCTTATTTGAAATCATCTGGGCTTCGCTTAATTTTCAACATTTTGGAGTTGCAACGTGTTTCCAATATAATTAAAAAGTAAGTTTGTTCTGTGTTCTCTCTCCCCCTCTCATTTTCACCGAGGACATGAATTCTTAAAAAATTTGCATAGTAACATTTACTTTCTTTTCTGCTCCATGAAGGAATATAATTAAAAAGGTGAAAGGCATTAAGCTGATGGTTCATAATGCACTAATTTATAATAGTGTATTAGCATTCTGATGAAAATAAAATACTTAATGAAACTGGAGAAAGATTTCATTTTCACCCTTCTCATTATATGTATGGTGAGTTCTGAGATTCAGGCAATGTTGCAGCAGAGAGGCTATCATAAGTGAATGCTGCTTAGGAAGCTATTCAACAAGAGTTTTCAAACAGCTGTTCCCAAGCTTCATTAAGACTCATTATGAGTTGTCATGTAATGGAGAACTTATATTTTTTGATGATCTCTGCATACCAGTAAAGATAAAAGTATGTCTTAAGGCAGAACTGAAAAGAACAGAAGTTGGTACATATTAAAAATAGATTACTAAAATGCCCTAGTTAGCTGGCACAGACCTTAAAAGCTCAGTACAATCATTCAGATTTAAAGGGAAAGATAAAAAGTGACTAAACTCACTGAGCTTTTAATACATCAATGGTTATATTTTAGGAAAAAAACTATTCTTTCATATGAAAGATACCTGGGGGACCCAGGGATTTATCTGCACCTCTCATGATGGGAATTCAGAGTTTGCGTGGCCACGCCTGAGAGAGGCATCCTGATAGCTTTTCTAATTGTTACTTTGCATCAAATGTAAGGAGTCACACCTTCAAGTGTAAGTAATCGCATCTTTCCTCCATGCACCACACCTCAGACGCTTTTCCCACACAAAGTGAAAGGCTATCTCAATTTTTAGAGCGTGAAGATCATTGTCACAGCTACTTCTGTATCGACAGGGACCTTCAGAATTGATATACACATAGAACAGACTTTAGGGGGATGTGTTCGAGGGAGCAGCGCTTAGAAGAATTAGTTCGAAGTTGTACAGCTATTTGTACAGAGCAAACACACTCGGTTTTTTTTGTTTTGTTTTTGTTTTTTTTACTTAGAGTATAAACAAAAGTAAGAAAAATTTTAAGGAATGCCTTTATACTTTATGAAAGGTAAGAAATGATCAAGTATTCATATCAAATATTATTGCTATTAATTAGAATTGTATTGTGGGCTGATGGAAATTAATGATGGTGACTTTAGCACCCGAAACCACTGCCTAGAGCTGCCACTCTTTGATCAAATGTAGCAGTTTCCAACAACAAGCACAATCGCCAGAGCAGCCTTGTAACTACTTTTGTATCTAGATCTTCATGGTCAGTCACAGCCCTCATCCCATACCCAGTCACACTCATCCAGAACTCTGTATCCCTTAGAAGAAAAATGGGACAAGGCCAAGCAAATGCTTTTTGTCCTGCCTAGTTGTCATCTTCTGTGAGGAGGAGACAATGTGTAGCAGATACACTGCACATTTACCAGTAGCAAACAGCAGAGTAGAGTGCCCTGAAGTTCAAGACTGCTCAGAGAAAACATTCCTTAATGACAGAGATCCATCCAAATGTGAAAGTGGTAGAGGAAGAGGACTTTGGGAGGCTAATGAATGCAATTGCATGTAGCCACAAATACTGCATGATGCTGAGGATGAGGGCACCTTTAACAAAACTTGCAGAGGCAGAGTAAGAAAAAGTCCTAGGTTTATGCACAAAGAAATCTAGAAAAAGTGTAATGTTTCCTTTATTCAAGTTAAGCATAAAAAGGGGAGAGTAGGTGGGGAAGAGGGTGGCACTGGTTAAAGAGCTAGGTAGTAAAATGGGAGTGGATCAGGAAAAAAGAATATTTTGCTTTTGTATTAGTCAGGGATCGCCACAGAAATAGAATCAATAGGATCTATTTATCTAGATCTACATATAGTTACAGATGTAGCTATAGATATATGGGAAGATATTTACTATGAGGGGTTGGCTCACATGATTGTGGAGGCTGTCCCAAGATCTGTTGTTTGCAAGCTGAAGGTTCGGAAAAGCCAGTGGTCTAGTTCCAGGGTGAGCTTGAGTGCGTGAGAAGCAGTGGATCCAATGGTGTGAGTCCCAGTCTGAGTTTGAAGGCCTGGGGACCAGGATCACCAATGTTGATGTCCTTGCCCAAGAAGAGAGAGCAAATTTGCTCTTCCTTCACCTTTTTCTTCTATTTTCTCCTGCGTTTGCTCTGATGTAAGAGAGCAATTAATGTGCCATGTTGTTCTATGTAAACTTTATTTCTTCACACTACTATATTTGGGTCCTCAGTGGATTGTATGATGCCCACGCACACTCTGAGACTGGGTCTTCATTTCTCAGTCTATTGATTCAAATGATAACCTCTTCCAGAAACACCCTAACAGACACCCAGAAATAATGTTTTACCAGCTACCTGGGCATTCCTTAGCTTCGTCAAATTGACACATAACGTTAGTCACTATAGCTTTGTTCTTGAAATATGCTCTGATTGTTTCTAAAACCTTTTTTCCAAGGTAATGAATTAGTTTTGTCAGTTCAAACATTGCAAACCAGATTATTGAATGACTTCATATTTGATAGTGTTTACATCAATATATTGATATTATTAGTAGGTTTGTTAACAGTTTGGAGACAAAAGAAGAAATTAGCACTGATTGCCTATGTAATATACTAAAAGGTTATCCAGGTAGAATATGAGCTTCCTTCTAATTGCTATTAAGGCTGCTCATAGATTAATTGAAGTGGCAAATGGCAATATTATTGTTTAGGGTGACTTACCTAATCCCAGTGCAGCAAATTCAATCTTCTCTCTCACAACAGGCTGTCTCCTATGTGTATCCTCTCATCACCATAGAACTTTGGATAGTATCTACTGTTTCAAAAGATGCTGTCATATCTATTTTCTCAAAAGCCTGTGAGAAAGATAGGGCCAGAATTACAATCTCCATTTTATAGATGAGGATACAGGTCAAAGAGGCTACATGAATTGGCCCTGCAGCTAGTTAGTAGCTGACCTGGGACTTCAACACAGGTGTTCTAAATTCTAATCTGGAGTGCATCTCCTCTGCATGAGAGCATGTTGCCACGCACCTAATTATAGAAGAGGAGTCCTGGGGCAGAGATGAACTCTTTTGGTCAATCTGTTTTCTAGGATTCCCGGAAAGATTTCGAGGTCAAACCTGGACTAATGGTGATTAATTCCTGCCAACAAAGCAGACGTATTTCAGAAGTTTTTGTTTTTAAAATTATTTCTATTTTAAAGAAATTGACTGTTAAATATACAGCACTTTTAATAGTAATGCAAAGTCTATATGACTAGCTCAATATGTGAAAAGATGACAGGCAATTTAACTTTTCTGTGCAGACTCAAGCTCTGTCTTGTAATGGATAGTGCTACCTTAGTTTTATGCTGCATTTCTCAACCTTCCTAAGGATTAACAAACTGTGCATGGTTATGCGAACGACCTGTTCTCCCCATGAAAGATAGCAAGCATGCTGTGATGACAAAACCATGCAATCAGTTTCCAGAAAGGATCATCTACATTCCCCATGCAGCTACTAAAATAAGAGTGGAATAAAACAGAAAGGGCTTCGCTAAAGTAAAATGGGACTCAGATGCTTAGAGGTCATATTCTTCCATTATGTATTTTTGCAAGCATCATCCCTAAAGGTTATCATACAGGATTTTTGCTGCTTTAAATAAGTAGCAGTTGAAATGATTGTCTTTCTTATGTATCATGCCTGTGTTTTCTCTGATGTATGAGAGCAATTACTGTGCCATGCTGTTCTATGTAACCTTTATTTCTTCACATGACAATCTCTTTCTTTTATTTCACATGTAACTCAAACTCCTATTTTGGTACTCCCTGGGGTCAGAAGGAGATGGGATTCAGATAAATATCATTTAAATATAGTCAGTCATGGGCCATAGGTTTTGTTTTCTCTATATATTATTTGACTCAGTATCAAAGGTGCAATTTGTTCTCTGTGTTTTCAATTTAGTGTTACATAGTGTGTTAATTTCGATATGAGCACCATAGAGTATGGCAGGAGCCACAGAATTTAATTTGAGTAAATGCAGGCATTAGGTCCATGATATGGACCAGCCTTTGCAAAGATGTGCTCAGTAGAGCATTAATCCTGTCCTATGAAGAGTCGGGGCGGGAGGAAGGATATTTGGGGAAGGTTACATGCCTCCCTGTGAAATTCATGATGCACATTAGCATATTAATGGCCCTGAGACTTCCTCCAGTAGATACTTTGTTCAGTTTTGCTCAACCCAATATCTCTCAAATTTATATCATTCAATCACGCATATGTCATTGAGCTTCTATTATAGGCCAAGCATTCTTCTAAGTTCTGAAAATACTTCAAGGAGGAAAAAAAAATGTAAAAACTTTGCCCATATGGAGGTCACATTCCAGTGGGGAACACAGACAGTAAGCAAATAAATAAGTGAAATAAATAGTATGTCAGATAGTGCAACGTGCCGTGCAGCTAAATAAAGGGGGTAAAGGAGTGGGGTGGAGTTGAAAAGTTGGATATTTCTTTTATTTGACGGCAGCATCTCCATTGTGCATACTTTTTAAGGCCTTGTGGAACCAGAGTTCTACAGAAAACACTCCGGGTTCCACTGAGTTGGACCCTCAGTTAGAAACCTTTTGCAGCTCACATTCTAGATTCATGCTTCGTGTTTCTTTACAGAAGATGATTCATTAAAAAATACTCTCCATTGTAACTATCGTTTTCTGAATTTGACTAACAATATCTACAGTATGTAAGCCAGTACTTATGTTGCACTTCAAAATTTTTAAGCTAGTTTTGTCCCTTGAGAGAATGAAATAGATAACCAAGATTCAGATTAATAACCACTAGATGTCGGTGTTATCATTGGGTAAGAGAGATGATCTTAAAGCAGGCTTGGTTGACCTAGATAATTCACAGCATAAGTAGACACTTAAAAATATCTCACTAATTTATTAAAGTATAATTGTATAACTTTCAAAAGCAGTTCCTAGAGGATAAAGACAAATATAATTTGGAACAAGAATTAAAGAAACATAAGAATGTGGGCTTATTTACTTATTAATCAAGTTAAACAGTTTATCTAAACACATTCTCTATGATAGTTTCTCAAAGTTAATATATTCGAGAAACCTCTATTGAGCAACTATTATGTGTTAGATACCACCTGACTAGGTACCAAGGAGAATACTGTTTTAAGTGACAGTAGCTTATTAATAATAAGAGTACTTAATAATACAATGTGAGGAAGGCAATATATTTTTAGGGACGCAGATGACAAACA